>NC_000010.11:11222121-11373636 GCF_000001405.40 Homo sapiens
CTCTGTGTTCTTTCCTAGTGGAGTGCTGCAGTTTCTCTCTTCAGCAAAAAAGCTTGACTCTCACTGGGGCCAAATTTCATTTGCCCATTTTAATGCATTTGGAGGTGTTCATTTTCTTTGAACCACCTCTCCTACTTAGTGATAGGTATTAATGCCTTTGTTCTCAGAGCCACGATTATCATCATTTTATCATTGTCATCATCATTATTATTTTTGCCATAAAATCTCTCAAACCTCATCTCACTGTGTCAGAGAAATTTCTCCTGAAACCATCCCATTGGAATCAAAGCCTAACTGGGCCAAGTTAGAGTATTTTTTTCTCACATGCCTTTGGTTTAAAATTATCATGGAAAACAACCGAAACATCTGTATGAACAGGTTTGAGTCCTCGAAGTCTTGTGCCATGCGGGGCACACAAAGCGCTGATGCATTTCTTTATTCGGCAACCATGTATTGAACGTTTATTGTTTGCCAGGCACTGTTCTAGATACCAGGGAATACTGTAGTAGCAGCCATGCCCTTTATAACCAAATCACCAAACCACAAAGCCTGCCACTATGCTTACACGTGGTATGTGTTTAGTAAGTAGCTCTTACATAGTGAATGCCCGAATAAGTTAGTTTTTATAATGAAATATTTCCAAAGGCCTACAGTTTTATTTTCTAAAAAAAGATAATTATGCCTAAAAATATTTCAAATGTTCCAAAATATAAAATGAATGTAGATACGTTATCACATGTATGTGTGTTTAGTGATACAAATTGTTTCATAGACACAGATCTATATATGTGTATGTCTATATGCCCATAAACATACCTTCCACACGTACACCTGTGGATGTCAGTCCAAATAAATGGAGGAAGATGAAAGTTAAAGTCCTCCCCGTTCTCTGTGCAGCCTGCTGGCTTAGTCTCAATTACTTTGTAGCGAACTTTCTTATTTGAGGCTTCACCAACGATCTCAGTTCCTTGGTGTAATTATAATTCTTTGTTTATGGGTGCTTTGAGTCCGGATCATGGCAGATTCATGGTGCGTGTTAGAGAGGGTGCTTGAGAAATGGCCGTGCGATGATGGTGAGCTCTGCTTCCCAGCATCCTCACAGTCAGGCCTGAGCGGGGCACTGCCTGAGGAGCTTCCTGAGCCATGAGGAAACATGCCTCAAAAGGCACTGTGTCTGCCTCCTCATTTGTGTAGGTGTGAACTCTCCTTGTGGAGCACCCCAGCATACAAACGTGTGGAACATACACGTATTCCACACATGTATTCTGCTGCGGAATGTGTCAGTCAGGACATCCATTTGGTGCAGATGCTTCAGATGTACATTTGCAGAATTTGGCCTGGGCTGAGAAATTCGCCCTCATGGGACTGCCTAGGAGGAGCCATTTCCCTGCCATCTGTGTTTTCAGATAATACTCAAATCTCATACAAATAAAAGCCAAACAAACAAAATAAGGACTTTGTTTCTCTTGGAGATGACTTTTTAAGGACTGTGACAGAGAGTAGCAGGGGGAGCTCCGGAGGAGTCCTTGAGGGTGCAGAAGCTCCCTTCCCCCTGCAGGAGTCACAGCAGTATGAAAGGGGTAGGGGCAGAGTGTAGACCCAGCCCCAAGTCGGGCTCAGCCAGGTGCAACAGGATGGCTCCCAGCTGAGCGGTATAGATCCAGGAGAGGATATCGGAGGATGGAAGGAAATCCTGGGCCCAGTGAGTTCCATTCTGCAGGCCCAGGCCCCAGGGCAATGGGAAAGTATATTTTAATGCTTAATAAAAGGCCATTACAAATTGTCTATTTCACCCGCCATAAAGTTTTACACACTACCTGAATAGCAGGTTGTTTTGGTTTTGGCTGGCAGTCTGTTGATTCAGTAATGTTGATGGGCAGTTATTTACGTACGGCTTTGATTAAAATAAAAAACTAGTTATTTTTAAAGCATGGCCTACTCGGTATAAGGAATTGTACGAGAGAAAATGTATGAGGATTCTTCAGTGGTGCAAAGTTGAAAATGCCAGCACAGGATTACAGTAGGGAATAGCCACACCACTTTTGGCCTCAGAACCCAGTGGAAGGCAATGTTTAGTTTTGCAAACAACGTAGTCTCAGCTATATCCCTAATTAATAGGACTGTTGCCAGGGCTTGTGTGAGAAAGTATGTTAACGCGCTGGTACTGGTGCCTGATCAGATTTGCAAAAGTGCCTTGTGTCATTGCTTGAGGGATACTGGTATCTCATTAGTATCTTGTGAGGGGATGGTAGGATGGTACAATGGCAAAATGAAGCCATAGTTAGATTTCAGAGATAATCATTTCTCTACGACAGCCCAAGATTAAACTGGGAATATGCAGTTCACTTACGTCGACCTTAGTTCCCAAAAGGTTGATAGGATTTCAAAAGAAGATTGTGGGGGAGGCGGGGGATCCATGAATTTGATTAAAGGTCTGCATGGAATTACAGAGGAAGGAGGTGAGCCATGATAATCAAATGATGAAAGGAGAAGTTTGATATACACCTAGAAAATTGTCCAAATTCTGTCATTAGCGTATAGGGTTTCCATGAGAACTCATCTCTGAGAATATCATATCTGGCTGGACAGATCTTTAATCTTTGACATCAGCTGAGCGTAACTCAGGAGATGATGTCCAGGTGAAGTGCGCTCGTGAGTTCGGAGCCTGGAGCTTTAGGCCACACAAAAAGCATACAGCATGGGTAGATGTGGAGAGAGTTCTCCCAGGAACACCAAGGTTCTTCCCCCACACACTAGGAAATAGGGAATGGCTGAGCTGGGGAGAGCCAAGGCCAGGATCAGAGGGAGTCAGGGCTCTGCCGGATATGGTCTGGTTTGTGCAGGGAAGCGCGCTGGACACTTACAGGAGGGCGGTGTGGGGAGGGAAAGAAGTTTCGTCTGTCCCTCTGCTCGTTTCAACCATAAATGGTCATAGCATACAGGTGCCTGGGAAGTCTCATTAGTAGTATGACATAAGCTGTTGAAGTTGGTTTGATAATGAAGGAATATTTCAGGCCCGTACCCTCACCACTCTCACTGCCCACCAGCCGCAGAGATGAAAGAATAAACAGTAAACGGTGCGTGTGGAGATCGCAGAAAGGGACACTGTGACAAAGGCTCTCTTTCATGGTCCTCATTGTCCCTGCCTGTCATTACTTCCCATTAACACTCAAAACACACATTTGTGCTGCCATCCCCTCCTCCTCCAGCCTTAAAAACGCTTGCAATGCCCTCTGTACTTGATCTGCAAAACAAAAATGGTTGGACTGAGTGGCCCTTTCCAATCTTGCAAAACTCTTCTTTGCTGTCCATGCATTGTCTGTGGTCATGTCCTATTTAACGAAAATCTCTACACTGTGACTTAACTTGGTTCTGTGATGGGTTAGTCATTTTAGAGTACTTCACGTAGACAAACGTGGATTATTCAAGCTTTGACTATACCCTTTGAGATTGTCTGGGCATCTGCTTTCCTCTCTGGTTGAGAACCAACAGGGAGCTTAGTACTCATAATTTTTCCACCGGGAAATGGAGAAAAGAAAGGGCAAGGGGATGGACTCGAACGAGTCAGTTTATTTCCTTGTGTACAGCCCTGGTTTGACAAGAAAGGGTATTTAACCTAATGAGGTTTCAGGATTTTTGGTGGATTTTTTTATCTATTTGATTCCTGTCCTCAGCTAACATGGGTAAGTGACTCCTCTGTGTTTGTAAATGGCTTTATAGAGTTGTTTATTTGTTATCCCTTCTAAAAATATTTCAGGTGATGTATCGATAGCATTCACCTTGTTACACTGAGGACATCTCTGAAGTGCCAGAGATTAAATTAACTTCTCTGACCTCCCTAAGCAAAGCAGTGATGGAACTGGAATTAGAAGTCGTCATTTCTAGGACTGCCCAGTTGGGTTGGCCTCGTGGTGGTGGATTTAGGTGTCATGCTCACTGCATTGTAGGGTGGAATGGGCGTGGCTTAAGAGGCCAGCACAGCACAACGGGAACAGTCACCGTGAAGGAAGTAGCTCCTCTTTATGGGTTGCCATGGGGAGGCTCCATGGCTGTAGTTTAATTTTCACAACTCCACAGGACATCTGTTGTATACCCTGTTTTACTGACAAGGAAGCTGAAACTCAAAGAAGATGAGTAACTTGTTTGGGGTTAAACAGCTGGCACCTGACTTTACAGGCAGTTGGGTAGAACCAGTATGTCTGGACTCTAAGCCAAGGAACTTTCCATTCTGCTGTGTGTTGGTGCAGGCTTGCCGGTCCCGGCAAGTGGTCCTGGCAGGTGGAGGGCCTCAGAAGGACCACATTTGCCCCTTTGGCACTGTCACAAGGTAAATCTAAATCCTCAGTCCTGCCCCACTCCTGCAGCTCGTCATAGATGTGGAACAGCAGGACCATGACAGTTCTGGCTGTGTCAGATGGCATGGACCTGCTGACAGGGTGCAGCAGCATGAACCTAGAAGTCAGCTGGGCAGGCAGTGGCCACACACACACACACACACACACACACACACACACACACACACGAGCTGGCCCTGCCACAGCAGGGGCATCGGGGCACCTGGCAGCGGCTGTGCCCAAGGTGGGAAGCCATGTTCCCTTGCACAGGTCCTGAAAAACATTCAGCGAGCGAGGCAAGGTATTTGCTAGAGACTTTTGGGTGTGAAGTTACTAACACGGAGCTTTCTAAGAGGAAGTGATAGATCAAAGACAGTCATCACTGTAAGAGGTACTGCTTTGCGAAAGTGATTATAAATGCACCATCTTTCTTCAGCAGCATCATCGCATTGACATTCATGTTATTAGGGTGCATTTCTTTATCTGCATCCACAGGCTTTCAGTCCCAATCCACAATCTGCATTTTAATGCCCAGCTCCGTCCAACTGTCCTCGCCATTGCTCTGCTTCCGTGTTCCACAGACAGGGGAAGGGCAAGTATGGAGGCTCACCCTGGAAGAGTGAGCAGGACTCTGTTACCTGCAACCCCAAGCTTTAGGCAGCAGGACAAGAGGCCGAGGTTGTGAAACAAACGGAAACCTCAACCTGCCTGCCATCATCACACCCTCCTGCCCTGAAAACTCCTGGAGGCCTTTAGAAAGGAACTGTTCTACCCTGTTGTTTTACTAATGAGGAAGTGATGGTCCAAGCAGTCAAGTCTGCATAACCATCTAAGCTTCTGAATCTGCTGCTGCCGACAAGGGACCAGACTCACCACCACAAACCAGGGCACTGAGAGGTAGAACCAGGCAGCCCACGCCACAGATGGCACAGCAGGATGAACACGGCCCCATGAGACAGCGCTGCTGCTCTCCGCATCACAGCAAAGTCAAGGCAAAGGAGGATGGGTGCCAGGGGTGCCTCTGCATGAAGTGCTGGAAGCTTGGACATTCCTAGGCCAGTTAGGATCAAAGGCTGAGCACTGGCTGCGATATTAGGGCCAGTTCTGGGTTGGCTCTGTCTAGCCATCACATTGTGGTTTTTGCTGTTATCTGCTGTTAGATTCGGCCGGAATCTAAGGGATAGAGATGTATCATGAGGTGGAAGCTCAGGCTACCTCTATCTTAGTTACAACAGTCAGAGCTCATGATGTCATGGTGGCCTCTGGCAGCTTGGGTTAGACCAGGTGGTTATTTGCCACCTGTAGGCTGGCACTTTCTACAACACTGTCACGCATCAGGGACGAGGGTACCGAGTGAGAGCAAAGGATAGGCTCCTGCAAACTCATCTCCTCTCCTGGAGGCTTAACTGAGTGACTGTGGGTCGCTGGGTGTATTTTAATCTGTGACATTCCACACTTTGTGTACTCACCAGCACATACACGGTATTATTGTTTCCTCAGAAGAGTGTGTATTTAAATACCTGCCAGGAAACTGTGCAGGTATTTCACATTAAGTAGCATATGGGGCTCAGTGTAGTCAAGAAGTCACAGGGATTAGGAAAGAGAAAATGAATTGCTGTCATTCTATATATGTTATATGCTTAGTAAATGTCAGAACAGTAGTCACAGAACCTCAGGATGTTTCTAGCATATTTTGGCTTATAAATGTTTTGTCTACATAATGGATATCTATCAGTAGCTTTCAGAATTCAAGTAATTTTAATGAAATAACACTAAATGTTCAAGTATTAAAAGTAGTGGTAACAGTTAACAGCTATTGAGTGTTTACTATGTCCTCAGAACTATGCCAAGAACTTTATATATACTTGATCTCACATAAAAAACAAATAAGGTAGTAATTTGTCTTCCTTACCTGTTTGCCTTTTCAACTAGAAGCCTATTGTTCTACATTCAAGAAAGTGAAAGTGGCTACACCTCTTAGAGAACATTTCTTTAATGATACATCAGTGAGTATCTTTTATGGGTAATAATCTACCTATTTTAACTAGATACAAGTATGATAAGAAAGAGACCTTTCAGTTAACTGAAGCTAAGCTCATCCTGTCTTCCTTACATTGCTAATATCTGACTTACAATTTACTAATATTTGTAAGGTGTCATTTAAGTAGGTGTGGAAGCATTAGCCTAGATTTTGACTAGTTCTTTGGTGTCTTCTGCAGCTCATAGAGGCACTATAATCACAACCCCCACCCGCGCCCCTCGCAAAAAAAAAAAAAAAAAAAAAAAAAAACTTGGAACCACCATTTTATCATTTGAGAATCTCAGTCACTGAGTTAACCTGAATCACTCCTAAGGCAGAGTTACCAAGATTTTAAAAACTCTGCAGGTCACTGACAAAAACTAAGTATCATCAGTAAGGAAAATACTTAAGAGAGAATCAAAAGCCCAGGAAATCCTGTAGCTGATTTCAGTCGGTTCTGGTTTCTTTGAATGTTATGTGGGTCAACAGAGGAAGAAAGGACCTGTGCAGGAAAGTAGGCCGGATGGAATTATAGATCACAGACCCTAGAAGCACGTCCTGTCCAAGCTCCTCACTTGATAGATGAGGAAGCTGGAGCCCAGGAAGGTGGGAGGACAGGTGAGATGCTGAAGGTCACACCAGTCAGTGCTGGGGTGAGTACAGATCACATCTCCTAACTCCGAGCCTGTTGCTCTTTTCAGCAAACCATGCCCCCGTGATTTCTCTGCAAGGTTATGCCAAGCATGTCACCTTAAAGAATCAGAAATCCAGAATCCAAATTTCCAGTCTGTGTGTAGCATTTCATTCCATGACTTGAGGCTGTTGAACTTGGTGTTTTCTTTTTCTCATTTCCATTCTCTGGGAAAGACCCAGAAACCTAATAAGATTCTTCCTGGCCATCTACCCAAAATGATATGTGCAGTAGATGAACTTATAAAGAACCGATGAAGACAAAGGAAAGCGGTCCTTTGTACTTCAGTCCATTTGCATATAAAACCGGGGCAGTGATTCTCAGCCTCAGCTGCACAGGAATAGAATCCCTCGGGAGCTTTTAAAACTGTGTATGCCCAGGCCACACCACAGCCAAATAAGACTCACTTGGGATGAGAGTCTGGCATCAGTATTTTTTTTTTTTTTTTGAGACAGTCTCGCTCTGTTGGCTGGAGTGCAGTGGCGCAATCTTGGCTCACTGCAACCTCCACCTCCCAGGTTCACATGATTCTCCTGCCTCAGCCTCCCAAGTAGCTGGGATTATAGGCATGTGCCACCACATCCAGCTAAGTTTTATATTTTTAGCAGAGACAGGGTTTTGCCATGTTAGCCAGGCTAGTCTTGAACTCCTAACCTCAAGTGATCCACCCACCTCAGCCTCTCAAAGAGCTGGGATTACAGGCCTGAGCCACCATGCCCAGCCTAGTATTTTTACAGCTTCCCAAATGATTCCAGTGTGCAGGCAAGTTTTAGAACTTCTGTTAAGAGAATGAACCAATGTTGACCCCAAGGGCTAGGTGGTGGTGACATAACTTGTTTTCATCTTCCGCTTTCATCTGGATGTACAGGCACTGACTCTGACCTGCTCATCATCTTCCCACAGGTACACTGGAGTCTTGGTACTCAAGCAGCAGTCACGTCATCTGAGAAAGTGTTAGAAGTGCAGCCTTGCAGGCCCTCCCCCAGGACCTGCATTTGAACTAGATCCCTGGGTCTTACACGTTCACACAGAAATAATCATGTGAGGTGACAGATACGTTAACTAGCTTGATTGTGATCATCATTTCACAGTGCGTCTGTGTGTCAGAACATCACTCTGAAAAAATTAATTTTTTTTTTAATTGAAAATACTGAATCCTGGGTGACATGGATACATAGCAAAGTTTGAGAAGTGCTGTTCTGTAGAACCGGTCCTCTCCGATGCTCTTTCCCTGGGAGTCCCTCACAGGGTGCACTGTAGGGCAACCCCGTTTGTGTGTGCACACACACTTCTCGCAAGTGCTGGGTTGCTGTGTTCCCTCATCTGAGTACCAAAGTCAAGAGAGATCCTCTGGAGAGGCTGCCACCCTCCCTGTTTCCTTCCAGACATTCTGAAGGTGGGGTGGAGTAGGGCAGCCTGACTATGGAGGACAGGAGGTGAGAAAGTAAATGGAGATGTGAGGACATGCTGGTTTTTCCAGCATCCTTGAATGAGCAACTGGGTTTTTCCCTCCCAACCATCCTCTAAATTGTGGGAAATCTCTGAGTGGGACTTACATAGAATTAATGTGTGTCAGACTGTAAGGGGATGAATGGAAATGCTGCTATTTTAAGCACAGTTTTTCTGGCCAGAACAAGCTAATTCTAAAGCATGAGGAACAATTTTCTGCCACAAAGAGTTAATCTGTAATACTCAGCAGCTCATTTCCACCTTGCAGAAAGCATCGGAGTGTAGAGTCCTGCTGTTTCATCATTCACGGACTCGAAATTCGTTACCAGGAAAGCAAAGCATTTATTACCCTGTGTCTCTTGCTATCCGCAGCTTGAGAGACTTTTGCTGACAAAGAAAATGTAACTACCACATGAATGCTAGAGTGGAATATACTATTGCCTGATGAGGGATGCTGGGTCTATGTATGTTTTTGCAATTTGGGAGGCTTAAAAAGAATGTCATCTGCCCTGAACAGTGTAAGATTTCCCCTTGAGTGAGTTCTGAGTTCTTGTTTTTCATTCTTCCTTCTTGTGAATCTGGAGAAGTTTTTCACATTGTGGGTTATTCCTAATTATTGTAGCTACAACAAACATCCTGGATTGTAGTCTGTAAGGACAAAATCATTTGTTGCTGCATAAAACCTGAACTTAACCATGGTCAGCGTTTGCCTAAATCAGCAGCTGCTGCTTATTAGACCAGCATCAAAGAGTGAGCTGCAGTTGGGCGACCAAATAAGAAACAAAGTGATTAGAAGATCCTTGTGGAACAGGAAGCAGAGTGGGGCAAGACAAGAGAGAGCATATACCCAGGGGAGGAGACAAGCTAGGGTATCATATCTGCTTGATGGGGTGTCAGCCCTGAGCAGAGAAGGGGATCCGGAAGGAGTATGTGGGCTGGAAGATAAAAAGGACCAGGGTTCCTGCAGAACTTACAGAAGCACACACATTGTGTCCATTTTGCTCATTGCAACCAAATGATTAACTCTTCAGAAAAAAAAAAATCCTGTTTACTTAGTTTGTATATGGTTGCTTTCTTTTTTTTTTTTTTTTCCCAAAAAGGCAAGAAACGTTTAGTCTTTGATAGAGGAGACAGCTTTCCAAACAACGGGACTCAATAAAGACAGCATGAGGTCAACTGAACCTGATCCTGTCTCTTCTCTTTCCCCTCTCTTCTCTCCATTTTACCTGCAGTGCACTCAAAGGCAAAAAAATAAAAAATAAAAAAATAAATTAAAATCTTTCATCATCTCAATATTACATAAAAATTGTGTTCAAAAGAGAAAATCAAATTTTACCTTTGCATTCATGTATTATTAGTGTTAAGTACCACCGCCCCATCTTTTTTTTTATTATACTTTAAGTTTTAGGGTACATGTGCACAACGTGCAGGTTTGTTACTTATGTATACATGTGCCATGTTGGTGTGCTGCACCCATTAACTCGTCAGTTAACATTAGGTATATCTCCTAATGCTATCCCTCCCCTCTCCCCCCACCCCACAACAGGCCCCGGTGTGTGATGTTCCCCTTCCTGTGTCCATGTGTTCTCATTGTTCAGTTCCCACCTATGAGTGCTGTCTTTCATTCTCACATTCCTGTACTCATTTCTGTTGTTTCAGTATCTGATTAGAGCTGAATTAATGTAGTCGGGGCTAAAAAATAGCTTCTATCTCTCAGTGACACATTTTTGGAGACTCATAAGCCTCATTGTTTTCTCATCAGTGACAACTTTGTCTCTGAGTCAGATGACTCGAGTCTCCTTCACCCGTGATCTTGGGGGGAAAAAATAGAAGTGAGTAACTCACACAGCCACAGGACCAAGTGATCACAATCACAGCATCCACTCATTAGTGGAAATGAGCTCTGGACTCAGTCCAGTTGACGAATGGTAAAATCTATGGCTCGGAAAGAAGGGAAAGAGCAGTGCTGAAGATGTTTGAGTTCTTGGGGTGATCTTTGTAGCTCCTCCTGAGATGTGCCTTGATGATGTTGCCTTGATGATGTTGCATGGTACTGATTTCAAGGACACACCACGCTATATTTTTACATAATCTGCTTCAGAGGAGTTAGCCCACATTCATGGATAGGAGATGGCCCACATTCATGGATAGGAGATAGCCCACATTCATGGATGGGAGAAGAAAAATGGCAGAGCATGCTGCATATGTGGCGGGACTGTCATGAGGCTGTCAGAGTCAATTGTGCCAGGTTCCCAATTCCCAGAGCAGCATCCCGGAGTCTTGTTTAGTCATGATCTTCAGCCTCTTGACAGCATTTGGTTAGCAGACACTATAGCTTGGACTCCTTGGATGTGTTCATAGGCATTTTATCTTGACTCTGTTCTCTAAACATGGCACACTCTGTAAGTTTCATTGTAATGTGGCTATTAAACATGTCCACTGTACATTAAGATTTACTGGGAAAGAAAACCTACCTAGAATTCAGTAAAATTCTAACTAATGAAAGAGTAAATACACCAGCTGTTCAGGCCCAACACTGATTTTTAAAAGGGCAGATTGGGCCTGGGCTACAGCTCAGAATGTTGAAGAGGCTGGATTGGAGCAGAGCTGAGGGAAAAAGAGAAAAAGACACCTTACGCCATGGGCTTTCACACACGCAGGAGAAACAAACGCTGTCTCCTAAGTTACAGGAACTTGGGTGTACTTTTTCAGAGACTGCAAGTAAAGGGTGTGATCAAATGCTGCCCTTTAAACACTGACATGCCCCGAGTTCTGTTTTCACTGCTTTCTTCTCACGCCGCGTGATTTCTTTAGGTCCCAGTGATCCCAGGCTTCCGCTACCTCTACAGGCTGCTGCCAGCCAAATGTTTATCTGAAAATCGGGCTTCTCTGCTAAACCCCAGACTTAGATACCCAGTATCTGCTATTGAACAGATCCATTCAAATGGTCTACAGGAAATTCCAGTACTAAAATTACTATTAACCAGGTCTTCCTCCTGTATTGCCCATCTTAAGTGAATTGGTGGGTCAGCCAAAGCCAAACGCAAGAAATGGTCTTCCTCATCTCCTCTTCCTACATACACTTCACCTTTCTAACCCCCAACCTCCAACAGTGAAGATACCGGGATGCTACCTTAATGGCACCTCTAGAATTGCTCCGTCTTTATCAAGTTGGGACTCACCAGTTGTCATTAGGGGTAATAAAGGCACAGCAAGGGTGAGGGGATTTGGGAGGTTATCCCTGTAATCCCCATGCTTCCTAGTATTCTAGATGCTCTCTAGAATGGGAGAGGTGGGTGTGCCAGAGTTGTACATCACCCCCTACACCCACAGGCATATGTGAACATTGCTGCATCTTGTATCAGAAAAATCAGATGTGACTGCTGAGTTTGAAGGGTGAGATCCACGCTCTATACTGTGCCCCTACCTTTTTCTTCAGCTTCTGGGACATTTTTGCTCATGTGCTGTGTCCCAGCTGTATGATACGAGACACACATTTGGTGTCTTATCCTGGGAAGGTAGAGGTGAACATTGCTTCATTGTAATTTACTGTGTCACATGGTTCAATTTATCCTGTCACCTGCTGTTCTTCATTCCCCTCCATGGCTGAGGTCTCAGCTGCTCCTGTTCTGAGCTCCAAACTCCTTGAGAGGGAACATTGTCAGAGCCCGGCTTAACACCTCACACCATAGATAGTGCTCAACAAATGTTTGTTGAATAGATGAACTCTGAAGAACAGCTTTTATTCATAGACACTCTTTCAACATAAAAAAAATTCAAGTTCTGGCTGGGCGCGGTGGCTCACGCCTATAATCCCAGGACTTTGGGAGGCCGAGGCGGGTGGATCACGAGGTCAGGAGACGGAGACCATCCTAGCTAACACGGTGAAACCCCATCTCTACTAAAAATACAAAAAATTAGCCAGATGAGGTGGCGGGCACCTGTAGTCCCAGCTAATCGGGAGGTTGAGGCAGGAGAATGGCGTGAACCCGGGGGGCGGAGCCTGCAGTGAGCCGAGATCGCGCCACTGCACTCCAGCCTGGGTGACAGTGAGACTCCATCTCAAAAAAAAAAAAAAAAAAAAAATTCAAGTTCTTTACAAACTGGTGGGTGGGGGTGAGAGGAGGCAGGGAGATCTTGATCCCCTCATCCCCATCGCAATCCTTTCCATCAGGTAGATCCGCCCTCCACAGACAACAAACGCAGTAGAGACAGGAAGCCCTGCAGAGTTAAAAAGGCACTTTTTACTCTAATTATAATCCTTAACTGAATGAAGAAGAGGGTTGACAATCCCTACGTCACTTTACATTTTACTGTGTACTTTCATATATATTTTCTTATTCAGTCCTCACAATGATGCAGTGAGTTTTCTGGTACAATCCCTGCTTCAAACATGAGTTTACCAAGTTTTAACGAGGTCAAGCAACTTGACTCACATACTTGGAATTGGCAGAGTCAGCATTCAAACTCAGACCTTACGCTTCTGTGATGTTCTTTCCACTAACAAAAAACAAACATAAAGACAAAAACAAAACAGACATAAAGACAAAAAAAACAAAGCAAACATAAAGAGGCAAGCTTCGCAAGTCCCCATTAAATGCTACATTTCCACAGTTGTTAGAAATTATGAAAGTAGAAGCTATGTCACCACAGGTCAAGTGCTGTCAATAAAGAGTTCTTGCTTTACTCCTTAACATAAAATCTCTCCCACATGCTTGTCTCACATATTCCTCATCTGTGTTTACCTTTGCCATTTCAATTTCAGTTACGTGCGGTATATCTGAAGGCCTAATCCTTGAATTTTCTCTTTAAAAGATTGAACTTGAAGATAAGCATATTTATAGAACAATTGAACCTTAGTCATAATTTCTCTAAGCTCTACCAACCAGTATTTTCCAAAGTTGGTGAACAATCTCACACATTAGAATAGAAGGTAGAAATCAAAATGAGTGAAATTAAACTCAAACTCATGAAGACTGAGCAACGCTGGAGGAGAGCTCTTTGTTTAGCAAAATACCAAGCAAAGTCAGTGCAACTATGGAAGACGAGATGAATAAATGTAGCTGCTGAAAACAATATCTGATGTCTTGCTCAGATGTTTAATGGATTTGCATTTTAAACATGGGTAATAAGAAATAGCCCTTAAGGCACTTTGTAAAACTTGCCATTTATTTTTAGGAGAGAAGTTTTTTTTGGGGGGTGGGGGGACAGCCTTGTTTGTTTAAAAGGAAAAAAACAGATATTTAATCATTTTTGCTTAAACGTGAGTAAGAATGGGGAATTACCCTAGTTATGTTTTCATTCACTCAGTACAACTCCCAAAGGCCATGGAGGTAAATGAATGGAAAAAGATTGCTGAGTGAGGTGTGGTATTTATGTGTCTGTCGTAAATGAAGTTGTCATTCCTAAACCAATGAAATCATACATTTTTTATGAGAGGTTGCAACTTGCAGAGAGGTGGAAATGTTAGACACTAATTAATAAACGTGGCTGGCAAAGCAACTCAGACAACTCAGGACTCATAAACTAAGCTATGGGAGGATCATTAGAATACGAAATTCAGTAGTGCTTTTCCATTGATTTCATGAAATGCCCGTATCCTGTCAGAAGGTTCAAGATAAAATACAATCGGCTTAAATTTTCCAAGTTAGTTTTGAACCAGAGATTTTAAAGATTTGCTTGTTAGAGGGGTATTCTTGTGGTGGCTTTAGATTGTCTTAAAGTTCAAAGGAAACTAGAGATTACTGGATAAGCATCAATAACATTAACAGAGCATTGAAGCTGCCTGGAGTGGATGGAGGATGCCTTGCGTTGTGCAGGAAACACTCATCAATTCTGTGGTTTGTTTAGAGGGTAGTGTTGTTTTAAGTCATCAAGTCACTGTTTAACTTGAATTGAAACTAGTAAATACTGCAGATGAATTACTGGATAGCTTTCCAAACCTTAAAAAAGAAAGTCTACAAAAGTGGAACTTCTTGGACCTTTTAATGAGTTATCTGAAAAGAAGAGAATGTGGTTTCATTCGTATGCAATATATAAGGTTGAACCATATGAAACGGTCACTATTAACCCATGTTTTTAAAAAACTACAAAAACGGCAATTTCACAGCAATTACCCAACCTAACTTGAAGTATAGCTGTTTCTGTATAATAAATGTAGAACAGTTAGATTGGCAAAGGAAATACGTGTGTACGTGCATGAGAAGGGTCATTGTGCCGTTGTGTGGATAAACACACAGCAGAAGTTCATGGAATAGGGGGTTGCCTGATTCCACTAGAAGAGAGAGTGATGGAATAATGCGAAATAGGCCTGAAAAGAGAGCTGAGGGTCAAAGCATGGAATTCCCTGAAATACATGCCAAGGAGCTGGATATTAATTTGGTAGATAAGTCAAAGTCTTTGAGTGGGGGAGAAAAATTTCTAGACTGAGTTTTAGACAGATTAAAAAGGCAATGGTGTAGAAGATGGAAGGCAATGACCAGAACTGGTGAGGAGGCTGTTTCGGGGATCCAGGTGAGCAGGAATGAAAACCTCACTAGGGCTGTAGCCGTGGAAATAGAAAAGTCTATGAGAAGGAAAAGAAATTAGGAGAGAGAGAGAGAGCTAAACTGAGGATTTCAAGGGGTAGAAAATTAAGCAAATTTAGAGCCACGCCAGAGTGTTAGGTGAGAGGTCTGAGAAGCTGGAAGAGCTGCCCCCATCCCGGGGTTGATGTCCCCATAAGCCGTGGTCTCTGTCCAGCTTCTCAAGTTCTCTGTGGGGTACCCAGATTCAGGTCATTTCCTATGGGGTGAGGCAGGAGTGTGGCTGGAAGAGTCTGAGTAGTAGGTCATCCTGGGAAGCAGTGTAAGAGATCAGGGTGGACAGAGTCGAGCCCTGCAAAGAGGCTCAGAAGATCCAGGTGAGGAGACTTGTTCCCAATTTGAGGCCAGCACATGTACCAGGTCGTCAAGGGGAGCCCAGGTGCAAGGGCTGCTTCAGCCCCACTAGCATCTCCACACTGGGTGAGGGTTACAAGGGAGGCTGGGGGTCAGCCACTCACTGGCTTTTGGGGCTTTGTTCATCCCAGTTCCCAAGATGTCGAGAACTGAGTCACAGTGAGCCCCACCTGACAACAGCTGGCACTGGGGAGGGCACCGAAGGCTGAGGGAGCACTGAGGCCCCAGGCAGCGTCACGGCCAGAGACAAATGTCACAAGGATGATTTGTTGTTAAACCACAACTCGTTTCTCTTAAAATATGAGAGAATACTGTTTGTCGGTATATGTTATTGAAAGTAATGGTAAAAACCACAATCACTTTCGTACAAACCTAATAGAATCTAGGATTGGAAATGTAAATGAGCCACCAGGTAATTAAACCACGCCTTTAGTCGCCTTTAATGGCCAGGTCAGGCATTATCATTTCAGTGTGTATTTTGCATTGCTCAGTTGGGCAGCTTGTCTGATTTAGCGCCTGGGTAAGATCTGGAGAACATCTGGAAGAATGAGTATTGGAGCGCCCATCATTGACTTCGGAAGACAGTTCCACAAGTCAGAAAGGAATCATGGCTGAGAGGATGTCAGTATACTTCCCACTTAGTGATAAGGGAAGATTATTACCTTTCTCTTAATTTGAGCTCATTAATCAGTAGTGATTGTGATCTTCCGAGTGTCGCACACAATTCTCGTGGTCTTTTGTTGTAATTGTAGCTGTCATAGTACAGCCTTAGCAGCACTATAATCCTATAAGGCTTTTCATACGTTGAATCTTTCCATTTATCTCCATTTTCAAAATTGTTTTATACCCTCTAGTTTCTTGCTATTAAAACATAGATCTAAGCAAAGGATTCCAGACAAACCTAGGTATAAACTTTTAAATAAAAACTAGTTTTGCTTTGTATTTATTTGGGAGCTCAACTGACTGGATTCATTGCTTCTTATATCACAAAGGTGCATTGACATAAAGGGAAGAACTAAAGTATTATCAAATAAATTTCCTGTTCACAATAACATTGCTAAACACAGTGACAGTACCTTCTACTGAGATGATAGCTAGTTGGGTGCCACATCTAATGGGAAGGTTAAAAAACGGCATCAGTTTATTCATCTTTATCACTAATATAGTAAAAATATTTCTAAGAAAAATTGAACTAAGAAAAGATTGCCATTTTTTTGAGTAGCAGTGCTTCTGAAAGCGGCACACTCACACTTTGATCATAGCTGTTATTTTTCATTCATGGTCCGTGCCTCCTATTTTAAGCCTATTCATTTTTCTTCTAATTTTAACATTAAATAAAGCAAAATGAAAGCTTGTGTTATTATTTAGTATGAAAACACAGAACCTAATCACAGCTAACGAGTGTGATAAATGCTAGGCTGTACCTTCTCTTGTTTGGTGTGTGTTTTATATACAGGAGGTAACATAGGCTGAGGAACTAGGATGCCAAGTTACAGATGGGGTTGTGGAATGCTGTCTGACAGCCGATTAGAGTAATCTGTCAGAAATGATGACTTAATCACCATAACAGACTCCAAATTCCCTCATAGAATTCCACCCAGAGTAATCTAGTTTTCCTGCAATATTTTATTTTATTTTATTTTTTGCCAGGACTAAATGGCTTTGTTGCTTGTTTTTTCCCCTTTGGTGTACGACGTGATTTTAATGGAAATGTAAATAGGTGGTATCTTTACAGCACAAAGGCTGATTTGGAGCCTGATAAGCCAAAATCAGATATATAATCCTGGGTTCTGCAGTTTTTCTCCATCACTAGATTATTAGCCTGTGGAGTTGAGCACTGCTGGCTGTATATATCCCAGGTGACCGAGAAAGGCCATTCTCTCCAATGTGTTCTCTTAGCTTTCAGATGGGACCTTGTCTCCTTCCCCTCAGGGAAGCTCCTATACTTTGCAAAATAATAATGAAGAGGATGATGATGACAACTGTAGCGGGCACTTACTGTGCCATCAGTGTTTTAAGTGTGTCACACACATCATGGCTATCAGGAAAAAGTTGTAATTTATTTCCACTGTAGTTTTTTTCCCCTGGTTGGGAGAAGGGGATATGAGATAAGGATCACTTCTGTTTCTTTGTTGTTACCAAACTCAAATCCACTTTTTTTTTTAAACTGGCTTAGATCACTTTTATAAAATTATGTCAGCAAATGGTGATTGAAAGTTTTCTGACAAGGCACAGTGGGTCGTGCCTGTAATCTCAGCACTTTGGGAGGCCTAGGCAGGTGGATCATCTTAGGAGTTTGAGACCAACCTGGCCAACATGGTGAAACCCCGTCTCTACAAAAATACAAAAAATTAGCCAGGCCTGGTGCAGGCGCCTGTAATCCCAGCTATTCGGGAGGCTAAGGCAGGAGAATCGCTTGAACCGAGAGGCAGAGGTTGCAGTGAGCTAACGTCATGCCATTGCATTACAGCCTGGGCAACAAGAGCAAAACTCCATCTCAAAAAAAGTTTTTTGTGTGCCTACTATGTTAATCGTGATATGTAAAAGAACAACTTGAAATAGCGCTGAGACTTGGAGGTTAGGTAAATGCCATATATTCTGCCTCCATCATGGAATTGGCATCTTCAGAGGGTAACAGTTTTTTCCCGAATTTCCAAAGCAGTGTTCAGATAAATAGACCTTGCATAATCCAGGCAGTTAACATAAAGCCACATAGTAGGGCCTTTTGACATGAATGATTGTTCACCCAACAATGAGTGGTCTTCACTTTGATTCGTTTTATAGATTCCAGTGTACTTTTTTGCACTATCAGTTTGTGAATACACCACAAAATGTAAGATCAATTAACGTCAGTGATTCACAACCATTGTTTCCTCTCACACTTCTCAGCGTCTATGTAGAACATTTCAGACAGCTGGCCCTGTGAAAGAAACCTCAGAGTCTAATCCACTGTGTGAGTTTTGAACCTCTGGATCCAAGCATAGATTTAGCTCTGTCCTTGTTAGTCGAATGGCAAATTAGCCGGGGCTACACTTCCCTGGCCTGACTCTAAAGCTATTTTTTTTTTCATTACATGTTTTTATTTCTTTCCTGCCCTTTTCATAAAACCCAAACAGTAATTTTTGTTCTTGGGCTAATTGTTAAAACATTGTATGTGTATATGCAAATACACAGGTATACTGCACACACATATAAAGTATGAGTTCCTCATTGGAAAGAAGCCTGTAGGTGGAGGCAATCTTTATGTGTAGCGTGGAAGAGGGAAATTATGGTAATGTTACAGATTCTTAGAAACCCCAAACTTATTTACACCACAACTGTGTGGATGCACATGACAGGCGGCGTGGGGTAGAGGCCTCAGGCTTGTGCTCCCACCGGACAGACCTGGATTCGAATCCCTGCTCTGCCACCTGCTTGCTGTCTGACTCGGCCAAGTTATTTAGCCTCTCTCTGCCTGGGTTCCTCATAGGTACCGATTTCTGGGGCTCTTGTCAAAATTCAGTTAATGACCATGCATAAAGAGCCTGTAGAGTGACGGCGAAGGGGAGGCTTCCTCTGTGTTGACAGCAGTTGTCTAAAGGCTCCATTCCACTTATCAGGAATAGTTATGACCTCCAGATATGGCTTTGTCCCAGTGATAAAAACTGCTTGTTATTTATTTTTTGAAACAGGGTCTTGCTCTGTTACCCAAGCTGGAGTGCAGGGGCACAGTTTGGGCTTACTGCAACCTCTTCCTCCCAGGTTCAAGCGATTCTCCTGCCTCAGTCTCCCAAGTAGCTGGGATTACAGGTGTGCGCCACCATGCCCAGCTAATTTTTGTATTTTTAGTAGAGACAGAGTTTCACCATGTTGGCTAGGCTGGTCTCAACCTCCTGACCTGAAGTGATCCACCCACCTTGGCCTCCCAAAGTGCTGGGATTACAGGTGTGAGTGACCGCGCTGGGCCAGCTGCTTGTTATTGATCTGACAGATTATTTTTGTCATCTGTATTCTTTTAGAGATGTCCTTCTATTAAAGATATCTTAGCAAGTTTACCGTAGTGTTAGTGTTTTGTTTTTATTTTTTTAATTTGAAGGTTCTTCTTTAGTGCTGATTGATGTTCCTAAGTCACCATCCCTAAAGCTATTTTTGATTATTCCCCATCTCTGCTATCAGGAGCATAATAGAACAGTGGCTGGAATTAGAGTCACTCATGAGGGAGACAGGCAAACCTGTGTGGGTTGGGGGTGTCTTCCTATGTAATAGAAGGTCTCGTGGTGGGGCATGCTGTCTTTCATTTGAGGGGATGATGGGCCTCCAGTTGGTGGCAAATCTTTTGAAACTTGTTTTTAGCATTCCCAAATTTTTTTAGAGAAAAATTCAGAAAGTACAGGTGCCTTTGGCGTTTCATAGTCAATATACAAGCGAGACACAAGTATTCTCCATGGATGATTTTTGTGTTGTCATGGAATGAAAGAAAAATACCAGTGGGTCTTTACTGGCCATAATATTTTCGTTTTCTCAGTTGGCACATAGCTCTTTCGTGAATTCACTTCTTTCCATCCCCTCTCTCTACTTTTAAATATTTTATGGGCAGTAAGCTCACAATATGTGCTAGCACGGCTGCTCTCTCCAGGGGTCAGGATGGGTTTAATAATGAGATGCGTAACAGTGACTCTGTAAAAACCCATTTCAGGTTAAAAATGGCATGTTTTATTGAATCTCATGTTAAAGGTGGTTAACTCATCAATTGGTGATGGCTGGGGTTCAACAAGTTCCAACATGAGTTCTCCTGTGTGTGAGGAGCCAGCTGTGCCCCCTGCCCGCAGCTGCTTCCTTCCCCCAGGACTCTGTCTCCAGACTAGGCCTGTGTTGGCTCGGAACCCTCCCTTCCTACAGCAGAGACCCACCGAGGCAGAGGGCTTCAGAGAGCCCCACGAGGTTGTGTCCATAGTGGCGACTCTGGAGAGTATAGCTGCTGGGTGCAGCTGCTCCGTGGCCAGCTTCACGGCGGCACCAGGTGGTGACAGCTGTTGGCAGAGCTGTGTGCAGCGCTCTGTGCATGCACTTACCCCTCAGACTTGAGAAATGGCTTTGCTCCAAAGTCGTACTCTCATTTTCATTTTCATGAGTCACAGCTGGGGCCTTGTGGGAAGAATCGAAGGTCAGCTTACTCAGGAGTGAGGGGCATCAGGTCCAGTCACAGGCCAGCCAGGGTGAGGACCAGGGTGGACCACTCAGCTCTGGGACCCTGTGTGTGTGTAGGGAGGGAGAAGAGGTGGGAGGACCATGGGCTGCTTATCCCCAGGAGGTGGGACGAAGGGGGAGGCCTGATGCTGGGAGGCTTGTGTGGTCCGCCACCAACAGATGGCTCCTACCAGGGCGACAGGGACGGAGGCGCCGGTGGCAACTGGTGCTGGGTCAGAACCAAACCACTGCGTGCTGTCGTGGGTGCAGAAGCTTAGCTTTGGGGTAGAAGGGACAGTGGGCCAGGGGCCTTCCCTCAAGAAGCTCCAGCTCACTGAAAGCCCAAGCAGACCCCTGAAGGACTATATCTCTGTGTGCCGAGATGCTCCCCTCCATGAGCTCCACCTTCATTGTGCATAGGACGCTGATTCTTAGTACACAGCAGCAACAGAGCTTCAGCAGATGCCTTCTTGGGACCGCGCTTGACTCTAGTTCCTTCTCCCCGGGAGGGAGAAAGGGAAGGAGCCTTTGAAATTTCCCCTTTCGCTATGTTTCACTGGTTTTTAAACAAATAGGGCTAAATAGAGACCAAGAAGTTAACCATGTACCTTAACGTGCGGCTTTAGGCAAAATGTTATTCAAAAAAAAAAAAAAAAAGCTTCTAAAAATTCATGTACCATCAAGGAAATCTTCACATGAATGGGTTTAGAAGCCTTTCTTGATAGCAATGTGAACTTGAAGAAATGTGTGACATCCCGTTTACTCCCATCAACAGGATCTATTTCCAAAACTCATGCTCCTGCCATTTCCCCACAAGCATGCTGCGGCCTTGCGTGAGAGGACCAGAGATCTCCTGTCGTCTTCCAGGCTTGCTGCAAGTGCAGCTGAGATGAACATAAGTAATAGACTCATTAATTGTTTCATCGTGACTCAGGAAAACCACTCTGTAAAGTCAGAGGCTGGTGTTTGTAAAATTCTTAGACTCGTCGAACAGCATAGACAGATCATGACAGCACAGACCACTGAAGATTTTTTTAGATACAGCCCATACTGTGTCTGAAAAATACTCACTCCTGAATTAAAACTTCCCATTCTGTGTGGCTGGAGATGCAGCCTCAGTTTAATTAGCACACGTCTCTTCAGAGACTCCTTGCAAAAATTCTGGAAGATCGTGTACTCCCTTGTCATAGACAGAGGAAGGAGGTGGCCCCTGGGAACTAGCCTCAGCCCTGACCCTAGCCACACAGTAGGTAGATTGAATTAGCGACCACCACATCACCTGGGCCCTCCCCCGTCTCCTGCTGTCTACTGGGACCTGCAGGCATGTGCAGGGCACAGCATGAGATCCTGCCTCCAGCCCCATCTAGCTCTGGCAGCAGGGAGGGCCAGGGTCCCTAGTCATGGGGAAGCAGTTGAGAAGCAACAGTTCTGACCCCACTCATTTCATCATTAGCTCTTGAGAAGGGTGCTCAGGGTGTGGCCACTGGCTGCCGCCTGTCCTGGCACCTAGGGAAGATTTCATTCAGGAGTGAGTAGATGGGCATTGTTTCTTTTTACTTGAAATTGTCCAGCCTATGAACATATCCCTCACTGTTAGTCTTGTGCTTTAGGTGTCTTGTTTTCGGTGAATGTTCTTTTTAACAACTTCCATTGGCCGGGCGTGGTGGCTCACGCCTATAATCCCAGCACTTTGGGAGGCCGAGGTGGGTGGATCCCAAGGTCAGGAGATCGAGACCATCGTGGCTAACATGGTGAAACCCTGTCTCTGCTAAAAATACAAAGAAAATTAGTTGGGCGTGGTGGCGGGCGCCTGTAGTCCCAGCTACTCAGGAGGCTGAGGCAGGAGAATGGCATGAACCCGGGAGGCAGAGCTTTCAGTGAGCCGAGATCATGCCACTGCACTCCATCCAGCCTAGGTGACAGAGCAAGACTCCGTCTCAAAAAAAAAAAAACAGCATAAAAACAACAACAACTTCCGTTGCTTCCTCTGTTGGTTAGGATATCGTATCATTGTTCTTGATCAACAGTAGGGCCTATTTTCTCTTATTCTGTGCCTCCAAATAAATTGTTCTTTTCCCTGAAATGTCCTTTCCACATCTTCCGGTTAACATGAGGATTGCTTTGAGAATGAATGCAGACATAGCTTCATCTGAGACGCCTTCCCCAGCGTGTCCTTCCTCCATCTGTGTCTGGTGTCTCTTCTCTGAGTTCGCACCGTACAGCTCTTACCACGTCTCTTATCACGCTGTGGGAAATGCTTGCTGTATCTGTCTCTCCTACCACACTGCAAGCTCCATCACAATGAGAACCCCTTCTCATCCTCCTCTTCCCAGCATCTAACATATAGTGTCTGGTAAAAACAGAAACACGTGAATAAACGAGCAGTCATACTGGGTCAAATCATTGAAACCATTTCTGTTACAGGGAAAGAATTCTTTTTCCATCCTTATACTTTAAAACTTTGAACTAGAATGTCTACTCTTTTATAATAACTTCTCAAGAAATCTCCCAAAGTTCTGGGAGTCGGAAGATTTTGAGGAAGTGAAACAGTATTATGACAATGACTCCTCCCACCCATTTTTTTGTCTTCCTTGACATTTACATCTTGTATGTGATCAGAAATCTGTAACTCAAATGAACTGTTCATGGTAATGAGCCATTATTAATACAGTCCTGATTGAACACCTTTCTCTAAGAAGGTCACAGTGCTTTGCATACATTATCTAGCTTGTCTTCAGAACATACCTGAAGTGGGGTGACCATCTATTCAGAATTCACCATGGTCTGACAATCCACGGCTCTGCGAAGTTGATTTTTCCCCTGCTGAGCCCAGGAAAGAGCAAAACAAAGTTCAGGTGTGCAGTGGCAGTAGCTGAGTTATCACCATCACTGCTGCTTCGCAGAGCCTTCTGAAGAGTCTTACGGCAGCACAAGCCAATTCTCTGAGCAGCTGCACGAATGCTAAGGGTGCAGTCTTGGTGTCATATGAGTCATACAGCTATAGAGATCAGGTCCTACAGGAGTTGGGGGGAAGGGAAGATTACTTTCCCCTAGGGATATTGCAGGTGCCTTTAGACGAGTGTGTGTCTGCCCTCTTCAGTGAGTGAAGCATGCCGTTCTTAACCGAAGGCTCATATGGCCAAGTCCCACATTGGACATTTTATGGAGAAGCAGTGTGGTTTAGGGGAGGCATCACCAGATTAAGAGTGGAGATATTAGAGTTGTGTGATCCCAGCTCTGTCGTTAATCACCTGTGTCTATGCAGTCACTTATTCCCTTCATACCTGTCAGCCGAGAGCACTGACTGCGTGATTTCCAGGGTCCTTTACAGCTTTAGAGTATAGGGGCTCTGTTTTTGCTGCTCCCGAATTTCCACCTGCCATCATCCACGCATTTCACAGATGCATCTGAATGCTCACAGTGCTCTATTTGTGCTCTTCTGTTTGTCCCTGTTTTTTATGTGGATGCGTATCGACCGCCATGATAGACTGCACACTCCCTGTGGGCAGGAGCCATGTTCATTTCATTTTTGTGTCCCAGGCATAATGTAGGTGCGCTCACCTCATCTCTCCCATATCTTGAACCTGTGAATCTCAGTGGACTCTTTTCAGCAGATGAACCTGTATAAGTCTTTCCTGTCTTGAAAGGACAGATGGGTGGCCCCCATCCTCCACTGAGCTTCCTGTTGAACTCCCTTTGCAGGTGACCTCAAAATAGAAGAAGCCCTCATTCACCCTATCTACTGTTACCCTCCTCCTTTCCCCTCTACTTCCCATGACCAGTTGTTCACTGCCCCTCCACAGAACCTACTTCTGATAAATCCCGTGAAGAATTTTTTATTGCCAGATCCAAATTCTTTGGCCTCTCACAGTGTTTGCTGTGGCCTGATTCTCCCTCATTCTGGAAACTCCTCTCCTCTCATGGCTCCCATGGGACCAGTTGCTCCTGCAGCTCCTCCTGCCCCTCACTCTGCTCTCCTTGGACTCCTCTTTCCTGGTATTCTCTGCAGTTCTGTCCTCGGCTCTCAGCTCTTTGCACCCTTCTTTCCCTCGCTGACAGCTTCGCGCATACCTGTGGCTTCACTGTCACGCTAAGGAACATTCTCTGTGGCCCTGGCCCGTCTCTCGAGCCTGAGCCCCATGATTACAACTTCTGTCTGTACCCCACAGTCACATCAACCTTAGCATGTCCAGACCTGCGCTCGTCAGCCGCCTCTGAAACTCTTTGCTCATGCTTTCCCCATTCGGGCAGTCATCCCACAGTCACCTGGTTGTACAGACCTGGAGTTCCCCTTCTCCACCATCCCCACAACCAGCCAGTCGCCATGAAGTTCAGCCTCCACCAGTGTTCCCTGGCCTGCGGCAGCAGCCTCTTAACTGTCCTCCCTGCCTGTGTCTCTCGTCTGTAATCCACCCTCCACACGGCAGCCAAAATGGCTTTTCTAGAATTTCGATCTTGTTTCCTTTGTTACTTCTTCTGTACCTGACCACATACTTTCAGACAAAATTTCAGTTCCTTAGCTTGCAAGACCCTCTGAGAGCTGGGTGTTGCCCACCTTCACCGCCCCTTCCCGTGGTCCTCCATGCTCACACTGGGAGCTCCCTGTGAGAGGGAACTGTCACCCTTCCACTTCCTGGGTCACTGCGGGGCTGCCCCGTGAGTTTCACATGCCGGCCCCCCTTCAGTGCTCGCACGTCCAAGGACTCGGCCCAGATGCAGCCTTGGCTTTCCTCGCCAGGCAGGATTAAGTCCCACACCCCTGGACCCCTGTGGGCTCTGTCCTGCCTCTCCCCACATGCTTGCCAGGGTGCTTACCGGCTGAGGGCTCAGTGTCTCTCCTGCCCCTGCCATCCCACCCCCTCCATCCTATGCCCGCCATCCCATGCCCGCCATCCCACCCCTGCCACACTGAGCACCTGAAGGGAGGACCTTCTTCACTGGCCTTTGTTCCCAGTTTTTGGCCTAGAGACTGACATAGGGTACCTGTTTGCTCCATACCTGCTGGACAACCAGACAGATGCATGCTGGGAGGATCGCTTGCTCAAAGACTCTGCCCATCTCCCCCAGGCATGTTGCTGGTCCTTCTCTCCATTTCTATAGGATAGAGGTCACATTCCTCAGCCCAACTCATGGCTTTCCACAGGTGACTTGTCCTGCTTTTGAAGAGGCAGCTCACTTAGCCTCTTTCTTCTCCCTCCTCCTCTGTTCTGAAGACCCAGGCCGGCATTAGGTGCACGTGATCCTGACTGCCTGATGATAATTTCCCATGATGAAAGTATCAGAGCCAAGTGCCATTTCCCTTTCATTGAAATTAGATAAAACCCAGAGCTGTGGCTTGCAAGTGATGGAAGTCCACTGGGGAAATGAAAGGTGCCGAGAGAATGGGACCCATTATAATGAAAGCATTTGCGCAGCCAGTGATTCCTTCCACCCCGTGGCTCCTGTGTTCCTCAGGGTGCAATGAAATGTGAAGCAGGAGGACCTTTGGAGGTGGTTTGAGGAATTGATTCTAATTGGTAATGGTGGCAGCATTGTGTGCTTGGAGCATGCTCTGCGGACCAGGCACCGGGTGTGATGGGCACTTTAGGAAGAGCCATGGGTCCCCCGGGTCCACTGTAGCTCAGGACCTCGGCCCCGCTGTGTCTAGTCCTTTCTACTCCTGTCATGTACTGGACATGATCAGAAGGTGTCTCCCTCCCTTCCACCCTCCTCCTCTCCATCCTTCCTTCCATCCTTCCTTCCATTCTTCAGTGGCTCTTTGTTCGTATTCTGTATTTGTATTAGCATTTAATAAAAATTATATACTGATACCAAAGTCAGTCAACTGCTAGACCTTCAAATTACTCATGAGGCCTAAGAAAAACCTATGTGACAAACATAGGATGGCCAGAAAAGTCTGCATGATTTAATTTTATAATAATTTTTATAATGATACAATAACAATAGCTAAGTTATTTTCAACGCATCTTAGCCTCTACTTATGAAGCACTTTACATGCATTTTCTCGTTTAATTCTGACAGCCTTACAATTCAGGTGTTACCTCCATCTCACAGATGAGGAGACCAAAGCTCAGAGAAGTTGAGACACTTGCTCGAGATTGCATGGCTGTAATAAATGGCAGGAGCAGAATTGCCTGTAACATAGAGGCAGAAATCATATCGAGTGGCAGAACCAGGTTTCACACTGAAGTCTGACTGCAGAGCCCAAGCTTTTAAATATGTTCTGTGTTACAGGGCCCCGTGACTTCAAAGGGTTTGATTCCCGAACAGAAAATACAGGCTTACTTTTTAACATAGTTAATAGTACCTGGAGAAGTCTTGTTGTCACTTATGTGCCCTTAAAACAGTATCAGTAATCGAATTGCTGCAGATTTCTGAGATGATTTTTACAGTTGTTCAATCTGCCTTTACTTTCTCCCTTTTGTGTTTTTAGATGCATCATCCCATTCAGATGAAACCTGCAGATAGTGAAAAGTCCAACGGTAGGTGGTAACCAACTGTCTTGCTTAATAATAATATCTGCTGCTTTAAATTACAAAGTCAGTTGGGGGCGGGAGAAGCCGGCCCAGCTGCTTTTCTCTCTAGAGGACAGAGAGCGCTGCTCCTGGAATCTTCTCTGTGGCCTGTGTGTCTGGAGTAATGCACTCGCCACTCTCCTCTCTCCTGTCCTGTTGATGATCTCTGGCGTAAAGATGTATGAGGCTGTTACAAGCAGTGGCTTTCTGTGTCCTTCTCTTTGGGACTTGCCCTGTATAGGGACCCTGTGGCATTTGGTTCCTGTCTCCTCCAACAAAGCAATACAGGGACATCTCATGGGGATCCAGAGGACGTCTGCAGGAAAGGAATTGCCCATGAAGAATTAGGCTTTCTGTGGGTGGGGGAGGGGCGTTGGTTTTTGTTTTTTTACCTTTTGCATGTGTTTCTTTTGGACTTGGAGACTACCTTATTGTACTCTTCTCTAAATTGCTCCAATGCATTTGCATCAGAATTCAGAGTTCAGTCTGCTGATTAAATAAGCGTACACTTGGTGCAAAAATCTGCATTTGATGAGGTCCATAAACAATTGGGTTTTGCCTATTCGAGACATGAGAGAGTTGATAGCCACATTTCCCTCTTTTAAGTTTTTGTTCCCTTTCAGCGAACCTTCTGTCCCTTTTTTGTACTTTTAATTTACTGAAATGTATGTTAAAAGAATCTTCTACCATCCTAGACTGGAGAGCTGCTCTGTCCCATAAGACTGACATAATCAGTACTGTTTCCTTCCAGCAGGCAGTTTTGCACCTCATTAATTAGTAATCAGGGCAGAAGCCATGCACTTAGAGATCTACGTATCTGCAAATGTAAATTATGATTGGGCTCTAAATCTCTCCACAAGGTATTTTTTGCTAATTGTAGTGCATTCCATTTTCTGGCTTCTCCACAGAATAGAAAGTTTTGAAGAAAATTCCAAGTCATAGCATGGTGCTGCCAGCACCCGACTTGTCAGAGCTTTCTTCTCTCAGCTTTCAGCAGAAGGCAGCGGCCCATACCTGTAGTTGAAGCTGCTCAGGAGGCCAAGGCAGGAGGATCCCTTGAGCCCAGGAGTTCAAGGCCAGCCTGGGCAACATAGATATATAAATAAAGAAAATAAAAAAATAGCTTTTCTCTCTCTAGGAGGAGACTTTGGTGCTTTAACCACTGTCTTCTCCTCAGCCCTGCACTTTACTTAGGGTTAATTCGTTTTTTTCTCTACTGCTTTATCACAAACATGACACTTAGCACCAGAAGTTGTCAAATCCGCTGCTGCTCTGTGGCCCTGTGAGTGAGCCACGCCACTCCTGTAGTCAGCAGTTGTTCATCAGTTACCGTGTGCCACGCATGTTGCTAGGAGCTGGGGCTGCAGCACTGAATAGAAAAAGGAAGAAGAAAAGACCCCAAGAGACTGTGTCTCTGACCTTGTAGAACTGACATTCAGTCTACTGATTTAAGTATCCAGAAGTCACTTAAACATTGAACTTGGATTTCTGCAGTTGTAAAATGGAATTGATGGTAACTGTCTCACCTAAGTTGCCTTCCCCTGAGCCCAAGACTCAAATAAGGTGTTTGTAACAGTCTCTGTAATGATAGAATGCCTCTATGAAATGTTGATTACTGTTTGCACCCAGAGGTGGTCTCCTGGCCTCTGCAGGCTCTCCATGGAGCGTGCTGGCCTGGGAAGAAGACCACTTCACCCAGGCGGGCTCCTTTCAGCCCTTGTGCTCCAGAGGTGCGTGCTTGCAGTCTGATGACTTCCTTGGTGGGAGACACGAGAGATGACTCTTGTATTTTGGGATGAATCCTGTTGGTACAAGTCATCTCAGAGTGTGTGGCCACCAAGAAATGTTCCCTGCCTTTGGCTCCATGATACTCTAAACTGTATTTAGAGTATTCAGGACAAGGACCATGAAGTGAAAGTCTATGGAAAAGGGTTTGTCTCACTTCTGAACCTTTGGTTGTAGATATAGAAACATGACAAATTAGCCAAATTGAAAACATTTGACCTGAAATATCCCAGTACTGAAACACAAAGGGATTTTTTTTTTTTTTTTTTTTTTTTTTTGCATTTTCTGCTGTGCAGGTATTCATTTGCCTCAGAGAACCCTTTCTACAGGCAGCTGCCAGGAGTTTGCAGAGTGTTTTGTTGTTCTTTCTGTCCAGTGTCCACTGTGGTCCCTGAGAATCACATTTGCTTTGGGTCTAGAATCACAGCACATAATAAAACTGTCATGGGCACACCCAATGTTGCATGATCACAGAAGCCAAGGAGGACCGGGCACCGTTATTTCTAGGATAAGACGGTTACCTGAAAATGCTGTTTTTCAAGCAGCAGCCTGGGGTAGCAGTTATGAACTATTTGGAGAAGCCTGGATTTGACCCGACTCCACGCTTGTTGGTTTTGTCCTTGGGCAAGTTATTTAACCTTACTCAGCATCAGTGTCTCTTCAGCTGTGAGAGGGGGCTACAGTGGTGTCATCTGAACACTTGTTGTAATGCCCGTCTTACAAGGTTATTTGAGGTTTACATAAGTTAACGTCTATAAAGAGCTCAGCATAATACCCGGCACGTAGCAAGTATCCAGTGTGCTAAGTTCTGCTAAGTTAACACTGTTATTCCACTCACCGAGGCAGCCTTTTCAGTGCACTCTGAGCAGCAGAGGCCGGCCTGTCCAGGCCTGGGCTGTTTATACCGAAGCATAGCTCTGTATGTACAAATCAAAACCCCCAAGTCTTCTAGTTGGGCCAGTGCTCCTTTTGCTTTGCGGATTGACCTTCATTTTCTGAATTTTCAGTAAGAAAAGTCCAAAAATATAAATGAGCGGAAGGCTGCTTTTAAATGGCTTTTCTTTCCAGAGGCCCAAATGGAACCTCACCTTGCACAGACATGAACAGCTTCGAGGTTCTCTTTGGACCTGATGGAGGAATCAGGAGGAATATGTAGTTTTCTAAAGCGAGTGATAAAAGCCACAAGCCTTTTCTAATTTCACATGGCATTTTTGACAGGTAAGCATAGTTTCAAAAGCTCAAAGAGCACAAAGATTTCTTTGGCTCAGTTGCTCTAAATAGCTCCTGTAGTTTTGAAAGAAGTATAACGAGCTCTAATTGCACTTTTATTGAGTTTGCTGACATTTATGGATAGCACAAAGGACTCATCACAGTTAGACAGTTACTGTCTTCATTATCACTGTGTTCAGATTTCTAAAACTTTGTATGTGCTGAGCCAGAAAGAGCTGCTAATCATGGATTAATTCATGATGGACAGGTGAACTCCAGAAAAGCAGTCACCCTTGGCAGCTTTCGTCCATCGAGCGATTCTGAGAGAGGGAACCTCTGGGGTGAGCCCCGAAACGTTAGGTTGCGCTCAGATCAGCCCTGCACTTTGGGATGTCACTGAGCAGACTTCCCGAGTCTCCATGGCTTCCTGTAACCTGCCCTTTCCATTGGCTCTGATTTAAGCTGCAGCCTCTGGCACACCGATGGAAGCTCGCGGCATCGTGTTTTCCATCCACGTGCTCCCACAGAGCCAGGTTGTCCAAAAGGAAAATAATCCCACTCTGGAGAAGCAAAAACTGCTGGGGCTGCTAAGAGGAGCACACTGAGTAAACCACCCACCTTCCAACAGAATCCGCCTTTTTTGTTATTTTTCCATTGCAGAAAGACAAATGGCGGGACAGGCAGGGCTTTTGAGGAGGTGTGGATTTCATCCTCCATCATAAACGAGCAGAAACATACTTAACCCTCTTTCATCCTCTATGCCATCCAGCTTTTAATCCTCTATTGCTGTGCCCAACGAGGTACCAGCTGTGCAGTACTGAAAGTCACAAGCAGTTGCTGAAGTTAGGCTGGCAGTGAGTGATACAAACAGAAGCTGCTTCGGTTCTGGGTCTGGTCTCAGAGGCTGGAGCTGTGCTCACTCTGATGTCTTTGCCTCTTGCCGCAAGGGAAGTTGCTTGTTGTTTTTACTCTATATACAGAGCGTAAATCCATCCATCCTGCTTTAACCCTCCAACCTCACAATTTGCTGGGGGTCTTTAACGCCTAGAACCCAGAAATGTCACTTAAGCCTGCTGTGTGTGTCTCTCTCAAGGCCTCCAAAACCTCCAGTGTCCAGGTGTCAAGTTCAGAGCTAGCAGCAGTCAAGATAACTAAATATCATCAGCAGAGGGTGCAGACCTGCAAAGCCTCCATTAAAAATAGGAATCATGGGGTGGCTCCATCCAGTCACTTTCTGATTCACGGGAAGATGAAGAAATAATTTTGAAATTCAAAGTGGAGAGACTTACAGATTTGGAGGCAGTAATTAAATGCCATATGTTAGCACTAACACATTGAAAAGTTGTTAATTAATTCAGGCAGCCCCAAATCCAGGTGTGACTTTGACAGATTGTACACGCGGGTGTTAGCGCAGACTTACAATTAGAGATTTTTTTTTTAAATGAAGTTTCTATTCCCCTAACTTAAAAAAGTCACCCCGTGTATTTAAAGTATTAACCCATTCTCATCATATCATGGAAGGTAGACTTCAAATGGCTGCTGGTGTGGAACCCCTTTTGATTCTGTGGTCGTCGTTACTAATCACGGGGGACCCCATCTGTGCAGCACTTCATGTGTAAAAGCATTTCCCTGCCCTTATTCAGTGTCCGTCATGGAAAATGACTTTTACCCTTCAAGTGTTTTTTTGTTTTGTTTTGTTTTGGTTTTGGTTTTTTAATTCCTTAAAGCACCTAGCAGAATACTGTGAACACAGTGCGTTTCATTTAAACTGACTTTCCTGTAGGTTGAAAAAATAAGTGAGATACTTAGTGCCCGTGAATACTCAGGAAAAACTCACCAAGACGGTCATCAAAAGTTGATAAAAAAGTTAAGTGAACTCAAAATAACTGTGTTCTTGTAGAATGTTTACAAAGCTGTTAGGGACCCTCAGAATGGGAATTTGGGGGATGAATTGTATGACTAACTTGTCACTGGAAAACCAAAAAAACTCAGAAGAAAGCCGGGTGTGTTCAGTATTCCCCATATTGCCTTTAAAGCAAACACAGCCCAACTGTTGAAACCACGGAGCAACTTTGGCTAGTAAGAGATTCCCAAAGCCCAGCACTTCTGTGCACACGCACAGGTGCGCTCACACGCCACACACACAGATGGAAGTTAACATTTTGATAACGTGGATGATGGAGGTTTCCATTTTTTTTCTTGGCTAATACTTGATATTTTTAAAAGTGCGAGTTATCTTTCTTCTTGTTGCCTGGCTGAGTTGACCTTGAGTGATGGCTAGGAAGTCAGCATTTCTTCATGAGTAGTTTCCATTTTCTTCATGTTCGTCTTAGGAAAAAAATCATTTTTAAGCTTACCCAGGAGCTGCATGGTTAATTTACTATGGCATCTCCCTGAAGCTCAAAACCTGCAAATTGTTTTAGCTAAATACCATAATTATAGGTTTAGCAGTGAAACCAAGGACTTGGTGGGAATTTTTCATTTGCTTTTGTTTAAAAGAACTAAAACCAGATTGTTCAGGGTAAGAAGAAACACAACAGGAATTTTATTTTTACTCTCATAAAAATGCCAGCCATAGTTTGCTGGGGGTAGGAGTCTCGGAGACGAGAGGGAAGGAGGAGTCCTGCTGATTTTTCTCCCTTTTCTACCCCCTTTCCATCCCATCTCTCCCCTTCCTGTCCCATCTCTCCCCTTCCTATTCCTTTTCTCCCCTTCCCGTTCACGGGAATGCCACTTTCTCACAGGGCCTCCCCCACCAGAATCCTCCCATGTTAGTGAGCACAGGCGGTGTAGACGGCCTGCAGCAGGTGGTGTGGACGGCCTGCAGGTACACTCGTTGCCCAGGGTATCTGGTGTCTCTCTGGCTTAGCTGTCGCGCCTGTGCTGCCCATGACTGACCAGGCTTCACCAGTTCACAGCGGATCCATGCTACTTTGCCTTCTCTGAAGGGAGGAAAAAGAACTTGAATTAGAAGTTTTCCGTCAGCGTACAGGAGGTCAGGTCCTCAGCAGTCTCCCTCCCAGGAATTGGAGCCCGGGGTGCCTGTTGCCCATGTCTCCTCCGAGTCTGAACACAAGCAGTGGCTCAGGCCAGCTGATGCTTTCCTCACTGAGCTCCTTCTCTGCACATGAAGCGGAAGATGGGGCGTGCCATCCTGAGGTCGGGCTGCTTTCCGCCATCCACCCAAGCCAGGTCCCTACTGCCCCGCACTGTGCACCTTGCCTGGTTAGGACCTCTTTGCTCTCCCACCTCCAGTCTCTCCAGACCCTTCGTCCAGCTTCAATTCCACATCCCCCAGCGAGCCTTTCTCAAACACCTGGGTGCACGATTCGTAGTTTACAAGTATTGTGGAATCGTGCCTTTCAACTTGTATTCCTTGGAGCCCTAGAGTTTCTGCGGTGTCCCAGGAGCTGTCACAGTGGGGAGAGAGCTGGGTGGAAGGGATTCTGACCCCCCACTCACCGTCCCTGCCTCAAGAGCCCCAGTCACCCCGAGTATGTCACAGGCCACCTTCTCTCCATTTCTAGGAGAGAAAAGAGTCTAAACTTTCATTCCATGGATGACAAAACAGAGGTCCTCAGAGGTCAGCCTATTCTCCAAAGACACATATCAAACTCATGGCAGCACCGGACCTAGAACCTTGGTCTTCTAATCACCGCCATTGCTCTCCCCTTCAAGCCTTCTCTCCTCCTCTGAACTTGGAGGAGACACAGCAGGGGAAGGAATCCTTGGCTGGGAGGAGGACTCCAGGCTGTGGGCCAGGCTGGATGACCCTAGGCAGGTCCCTCCCCCGCTGGACCTTGGGAAATCTTTTGGAGACAGACAGAAGCTCCCTTAGGTCTCTTCCTTCCACTCTGGGATGCTATGAAGAGGAGCCTTTAGCTGTCTCCTCTAGGCCCTTCAGGGCCGTGCTGGCTCATGGAGCAATCATGTGTGGCTCTTTAATTAAAATTACATTTTAGAAAAGCACTTCCTCAATCACACCAGTCCCTTTAAGTGCTCAGCAGCCACATGTGGCTTTAGTTTCTGTGTCAACAGCACTGTGGTAGAGGAACCCACCTGTTACCAGTACACCTGCCCCAGCCCCTTCTCAGCACAGAGGTGTGCTTTAGCGTCCAGAAGGAACTGGCCCCAGTAAGTCTGGGATAATTGCCTATTCGCTAAATGAAAATGAGACACTTCCTGTCCGGGGTAGGCATAAAAGAAACAGAAATAAAAGCCAATTAAATAGGAATGACAAGATGATAGTGCAGATTCAAAAGAAATAGGTATGCACAAGTGACTTAAAGCAGAGTCCTCCTCTAGCCCAGGACACTCTTCAGTCTGGCTGCAGCTGGCTAGCTTCTTTTTTTTTTTTTTTTAATTCTAAGAAATAGATTGAAATGAAACGATGGAAAAGAAGCAGGACTTCTCCCCGTGGGTGTCTGTGATGTCCTTAAAAAAAAAAAAAAAAAAGGCACCTCTCCTAAAAAGGACTCCAAACGCTGTCCTGAGATCAGTTTTAACCTCGTCTTTCGGGCCGAAAGTAGTTCACATTTCCCGAGCACAAGCATGGAGATTTTGAGGAAAATCTCCCGGGCCCTGTGAAGTACAACGTGTCTTATCTTCCCCAATGTCAGGTGCCCAGGTTAGAATTTGCGTGTCGTCCTCATGATCCCCAAATGCACTTTTATTCCCCGAGAATCTTGCCTCCCGGTGGCTAGTACAGTATTGTTTCCTTCTTGATCATTTGTGAAGGGCTGGAAGCTCGGGGCCATCCAGGGTGTTTCTCCAGCAGCAGCCGCCCTGTTCTCCTCTCTAGAATCGGCTTCCTGTTGAGCGGTAACTAACCTGGCTGCTTAGAACCAGGTGCGGGACCTGGTTAGCACTGCATCACCAGTGTCACGGGAAAGAGGTACTTTCCTAGCTCCCCAGAGACGTAAGAATCTCTCTGATCTCTTATTCTTGTCTAGATCAGCAGGGATGAAGCTATTTGAAACAGAAAAATGTTTTCTTCCCTCGAATACTCTGTGAAAAGTTTCATTCGCTGTTTCGCTCCATCTGCCCCCATCGTCTTTCCTCTCCTGACCTTTCTCTGTCCCTGTCATTCAGGTTAAAAGACCATCTACAAAAAAAAAAAAAAAAAAAACAGAATAAAATCTGTATCCAAAAATATCCCCAGAGAATGGTAGTGTTGAACAGTTATACAAGTACTTTGGAATTTTAGTCAGCGCATTACTGTTAGTTTCTGAATAGGAGAAAAGAACTTAACAGCATTACATGTCATATTAAAACATTTTATTAGTAAGCACAAGCACACGGGGAGATGGGTTCAGGAAGCACCAGGTGGGAGGGAGTGGCAGGGTGGGGCGCATGGAGGGAGGAGGACAGCTGGACGTCTGCAGAGTTGGCCTTGGGACACGTGCTTGGTCTCACATGGCTGGGGCCTGGTTTGATGGGGTAATGAAGCATTGATTACAAGAAAAAAAGATGAAATGGCCTTTGCTCATTCGTTATTTTTATCTCCTAGCTGTGGAAGACAGAAAATTGTTCATAGGAATGGTATCGAAGAAATGTAATGAGAACGACATCAGGGTGATGTTCTCTCCATTTGGCCAGATAGAAGAATGCCGGATCCTCCGGGGACCTGATGGGCTGAGTCGAGGTGAGTGTGCTGTCTGGAAAGCCTCTCCCCTTCAGTGCTAATTGGAGCTCTGTGTCACAGTCGAGACAGATGTAGGCACCGCACACGGCAAGAGGTCACCCTGTAATACATCCCATGTGATAAAGTTATCCAACCTGAACTTTTCACCATAGCTGAAATCATCACCTTTTATTTCTCCAGTTCAGAAGGCCTTGGTGCCACCATATTAGCTCAAGTTATCACTGTCAGGTGTGAAGCCAACAGGCTGCCCTACTGCTAGGCATCCTTTTCAATCTCATATTGAAATGGATTTGGTGGGGGGAGGTGCAAGAAGGAGAAGTAGAAAATGAGAAAGGATATTTGTTGTTTTCATCTTAGTCCTCGGGCTTCCTGCCTGTGCCTGAAAGAAATGTTAAGAGTATGTTAAGAGTACAGTGACACAAACTGGGAAAAAAGCGTCAATGTTCACATGTAGTGCAGAGCAGATAGGGATGTAGGGTAACTGGGCCTGTATTGGGGTATTAGAGTTTTATTTCAAAGAGCAAAACTCCTGGAGTCCTGAGCCAGGGGAACTCGTTAAGTGACAGAAAAGCGACTTTACCCTGAAGAAGATTGTAGGCACTTCTTTGCCACCATGATAGAAGCAGAAGCTGTAGCTCAGAGCCTTGACGATAAGCTGGTGTTTACAGAATAGTTGGAAATCACTGTTGTTTTCCCTGTTTGCCTCTCCCTTGACAATGCCACACACCTCCTTCCTGGAACCACTCATAAAGGCTGACGCTGGAGGTTGACACTCGTCTGACTGCACTTCCCTGAGTCAGTCCAAGGTGGAAATGTATATATAAAATGTGTTTTTCACTTCTTTTTGCTCTGTCGCCAGGCCAGAGTGCAGTGGCGCGATCTCAGCTCACTGCAGCCTCCACCTCCCAGGTTCAAGCAATTCCCCTGCCTCAGCCTCCCGAGGAGCTGGGACGACAGGTGCACGCTACCACGCCTGGCCAACTTTTGTATTTTAGTAGACATGGGGTTTCACCACGTTGGCCACGATGGTCTCCATCTCCTGACCTCGTGATCCACCCGCCTCAGCCTCCCAAAGTGCTGGGATTACAGGCGTGAGCCACCGCACCCAGCCTGTGTTTTTCACTTCTTACAGGAAATCCATATTCTTAGCAACATGGAGAGGTTTTCATTCTCTTATTACTGCAGTTACCAGTGCAATTTCTTTGGGGCAAATGAGGAACTTGGTTTCCTTCTCAATCTCTGGCTCTGGGCCAGCACTGGCACCCCAAACCACATGTTGAAAGAAAAGATTGGATCATGAGGATGAAAGCACTCGTCTTCACCCTTCTCACTAGTTTGACCTGACTTCAGCACCATGTGAGGAAGAACATTTGCTCTTTTGATTCTTAAACATAAAGCTTAAAGATGTCAGCTGCTAGAATGGAAGGCCGAGAGAACAAAAGTTCCCACCTACAACCACCTCCAGAGCCCCAGCATGAAGGTAGTCTACAGGAGAACTAGGAGGCGGTGGAACCACGCCAAGCTTTTGATTCCTGTGTTTTCTTCGGAAGGTGGTTTAAAAAAAAAAAAAAAAAGGCGGCATGGAAATCAGTTTATGCATTCTCTAACAATTCTGAAATTTTGTTATATAACACTCACTTAAAAGATGTAATTCTCTAAAAGCTGAACAAGTCACTGTATTGAGTGTGATCCTGGAATAGCAGATCCAGTATCCGGGGCTCCTCTGCGGTTTTTCACCTGTGCCATCGTCAGGGGCAAGCAAAGCCATCCATCGCTGTGGCAGACTGCACCACCTCTGGCTCCCAAACAGCCTCACCAGCCAAGGGATACTAGCATGCCTTCCTAGGGGCTCAAACCAGCAGACCTTCTAATCACACCTGGTGGTCCAATTCTTCATCATATATATGTCCACTTAAGCAGACAAGCCAGGAGGGAGAATACCATGGGAAAAGACAGTGTGGCTAAATTAAGAATAAAATATGTAGAAAGATGTGATCATATTTTTGTGATTCCTTTTCTGGTGCCAATTTAGTAGTTAGAATCCCTGTTATCTCCTGTTGTTATTCTCAGTCACACTTCAGTGTTACCGTAGTAATTTTCATTCTCCAAGGTATGGAGAAACGGCACAAGGAGAGCCCTTAAATTACTCATAGCGAAATCTATAATGGCTTAGGGGCCAGTGACCCCAAGTTCCAGACCCACAACTTCTACTGAAATGAAATAGAACTTTAGTCATTTTATTTTCTTACCTCTGTCCTGAGCTTTCCCCATTTGTAAATGACAGCCGTAACTATATCTGCCCTGCTTCTCTTGCAGGGAGTCATTCACGGCTGGTGTGCTAGCTTTTCGTCTGAGCATACCCTCTGCATGTGTTAGCGGAGAGACCCCGGGCGGGCAGTATGTGTGCTTGATTTCTGCTCCCCGTCTGCTGGCCTGGCTGATCTAGGCAGTGACTCTCTGGCACATTTTCTCTGTCTGTCCAGTGGGGACAGTAATGAACAGGATTGCCGCCTGCAGCGTTCAGAGCTCCTTGAGCATACATCAGTTATTTCTGCAGATCAGGTTTTAAAGCAGCCAGAACCTCCATGGGAAAGAGCAGGACACGCAGTACTTAACAAGAGAACTTAGCTAATTTGATCTGCCATTTGGTTGATTAACCAGCACTTGACACCAGAAGCAGCCTGTTCCTGCAACAAGTGATGGGGAGCAGTCTCATCAATATTTTATGCAAACGCTGGCTCAGTGGAAAGAGGAGAAAACTTTTCCCTCCCCATCTGTTTTTTTTTTTTTTAAACAGCAGAAAAGTAATTTCTGGTGAACTGATGAGAATTCCCTGTTGCAAAAAAAGAAAAATAAGAAAGAAAGAAAATACTCATTTATAACCATTTATCCTGAGAACTGAAGACAGACAGTGGTACTTTTTTCAATTCGCAGGACCCAGGGACTCCTGGCTACAGGGGCCTGCTCCTGAATCAGTGTATTTGTTAAAAGCACAATTCTCTTTCATGCTACCATTTTGCTTTCATTAAAGAATTGCAGTTTTGAATCAAATATTAATGTGTCTCCCATTAGTGGCACTGCAGATAAAGGGCATTCAGCATTTCTGTTCTCAGCGTCTATTGCTGGCTCAGCTGTTTAAAAATAAATAAAAATTAAGTGAAACAAAAGCATGGCTGCTCTGCACAGTACCTTCTAACACAAAACCAGGGTATACCCTCTTCCGTGAGAAAGTTTTAAAATCAAACTCTTGGATTATGGTGAGGGAGAGGGTGCAGCTGAGCGGTTCACTTTTCTTTTTCTGCTTTTGCCCAGTTCACCTAGGAGGATGAAGACAAAGGAGGCAACTAGTCTAGCTGGCTCCTGCGGATTTCTAATGTCATTTCTTCCCTGCCACATCAGTAGTTTCAGGTCCTCCCTAAGAGGGGTTACACTGAGGTTTCACCAGGCTAGTTGACCCAGTACCCCCACTGTGTCAGAGAGGTACACTGCCCTGACCCACAGCTGTACCCATCAAGTCGTGCTATACTTTCAGTCGGAATCACTGCCTTTTTTTTTTTTTTGTAAGTCGTGATCTACCTTTTGGCAAGAAAAGAAAGTATTTTTAAAATCCCATCTTACTCAGCGGCCCCAGCCCATGTTCCAGGGCAGACACCCTCAGGAAATTGTCACGACTCTACGTGGAAAGCACCTAACACCTGCCAAGCACCTGGAGCCTCTCGAAGATCCAAGGACTCTTCCTGGCTTGAGGCAGCGTAGCCATATCTCAGTATGCGTTTCTCCCTTTGGGGAAGTAACCCATTCTGCCATCTTCTCTAATTTGGAAAACACTGAGATGCTTTCAAGCAACTTTGGGATGCTCAGCACCTTCTGCAGCAGCTGCTCAGCCTCTCCAGGCCTGCTGTAGAAGCCTTCATGGAGAAAAGGAGCAGGATGCCATGGGCCCACATGTGGCAATTCACATGAGGTGTTTGCTCTCAGAAGCAGAGCCTGAAGTTTCTAAGCCAAATGTGCTTGATCGACAGCATCACCCTAGCATGTTGATTTCCTAAAATACACACACTCTCACTTACCCACAATCCCACAGTCAGCCTGGGCTATTTAGGTACAGGGTTTTCTGCACCGTGGCAGTTGAATATCTGTAACCCAGAGACAGTAAAGGAGTTTAATTTTTTTCCCCCCACAAACTGTAGGCAAATCTTCACTGCCATTTAAGGTAACTTTCTGCTTGTTTAAGAATATTCCAGCTGTGTTTATGGTGTTCCAACATTCCCCTGCCAAAACCCTTGACAAATGAATTGGCAATATTTTCAGGGATGTTGGCAAGTACAGACTGGATTTAGCTATTAAATCCTCATTGGTTTTTGTCATATCTGATCAGAATACAGGAATGGGCTTTTGACTATTAAAACATGTACACAGTGCTTGGGAGGCTGATGCAGGAGGACCACTTGAGCCTGGGAGTTCAAGACCAGCCTGGGCAAACACAGCGAGATGCTGTCTCAAAACAACAACAACAAGCATGTACACAGAAATGAATCAGTTTTCACACATTTCAGCTCTGCCCACACAGTACCTAAACATTCAGATGTGTGGGAACTTTGGCGACATGCCCCCTTGACTCCTTACTGCATTTGCCATCTTGTTCCAAATACAGACTTCCAATCTTATCTCAGTGATGAGATTTTGCCAGCTATTAAGTAGGTCCTAGTCTGTACCCAGCCTCGCATGCCATAAATGAGTGATGTGTCTGTGCCAGTTTTAAATAAAGTAACTCAGCATCAGGGATGGCCCATCAGAGTATTAATTCTTATGCCCCAATATTATATTGATAGCGTATGTTTAACGTTGCTACTGCTTAAAAGATACAAGGAAGATTGACTGCATTAAGATATTTCTTTGGCTGACTAGGAACTTATAAACAAGTTTTCCATAGGTTAAAATCTCCTTTGTCCTACACAAGTTATACTTCTTTCACTTGAAGTATAGTGGGTACTACACCTTTTTCAAAGAAGTAACAAAGAAAAGCAAGAGGCCCTGGCATTGTTCATGCTTTTAAAAGTGGCTTTACTTTTTTTTTTTTTTTTTTTTTTTTTTTGGTGCAGAGCAAGAATTCATCTAGTTCTCAGTTCTCTTGCAGCTAAGAAAAAAGGTGGAACACCTGAGTTAAGATATCCTTTCAATTGAAATGACAAGTGTAATAGGTGTGTTCCAAAATCTTCTCTGTGACAGGGCTACGTGCTTTCCTTAGATCTTGTCTGTAGGAGGAAATTACTTTCAGAAACCTTTCCCCAGTCAATCATTTATCTGTTTTAGCAGCAAGAAGGTAACCTCACTGAAATGAGAGGAATGCAGCTCCTTTCATTTCTGTTAGCAATTCGTAACATTCTGAAAGTAGGGATAATAAATAATTGCAAAGGTAAATTGCAGGTTGGCCAAATTTACAGTTGGATTTTTTTTTGCTGCTATATATGTGGAGGTTTTCAGAGAGTAATATACATGTTGTCTTACCAAAACTCCCTCCCCACCAAAAAAGAAAGAAGTATGGCTTCATTATTTTGATACCTGTATATTTTCCCCCCAGCCTTGTTTCTCCGGCATTTGGGTCAGTAGCCAAATTGCTGATTGCTGAGACCTGACATTCAACAGTCTAGAATAGTTAAGGGCTGACCCTACAGGATCAGAGCAGTTGTCCTGTAAAGACCCAGTGAACACCACCGCACCCAGAAGCTCATTTTTAGTAGAAAGGGGACAGTTACAACCCAGGTTATTTCTGTCCAATGGAAAGCCTTCTGGTTGGCTTGAGAGAAAAAGCCAGCAGCCAGTCTTAACGGTAGGGACTTACATGATCCTGTGTTAGTATAAAGCCATACATTGGAGGCCTAATCCTAAAGCCACCCATGTGTTTTCAGTGGTGTTGAAACAAAAACTAAAAATCTATCCATAGGACTTACCGTGACCTCCTGTTTTAGAGAAATTACAGTGGTTAACAAGCTACCATTGCAAGAAACAGTTGACTCTGAAGTTGCTTGACTTCATCCCGAGTGACACAGAGAGTGACATTTTTCAACATGCACTCCCACTTTATAAATGACACTGTAATTTTTTTCTCAAGTAATTGAACACAGCACACAATGCAGAACTTGACAGAAACCCCTAAGGAGACAGCTTCTGTCTTACTGCACCACTGCCAATAGAATTAAAAGGTTAAAGAAGTCCTCAGATGTGTCAGATCATTTTTTTGGGTGGGGTAAGGATTATATAATTACAAGCATCAGTCATGTTTTTAATTGCACGGTTGTTAGAGGAAAGGGCAATGATTTGAGTTTATAGAAACAGAATTTTATTGTTCTATTGGTAATACTTCTCTTCTGAGGCCTGATAATTGCTGTATCTTTCTCACTAAGTTACTTTAAAAAGTTCTGCATATATGAAATTGTGGCAAATGCATAAACTGTGCCTTATTGATTTTTGTTGACATTTTACATGTTTCTTACGCATTTTTACCCTCCATTTGGAAACTGTCAGCTTGGCACATGGTGCTGGATAATAAGAGCAAATGAAGTGAATACAGCAATCTTCTTGACTATTAAAAACAGAATTAGCCCAGGCTCCGCTTGGTTTCAAATCTATCTCCAATAGATGATTTGCCTTTTCCTCCCTTGTAGTTTCAAGATAAGAAGTGGAAAAATAAAAATCTCTTAGTGTTATTTCCTCTGTTAATAATGCCAGGGATGATGAAAATGCTTCTGAAGAGATGTTACTTGGAAACAGATGGTAAATTTGGACTGGATCACCTCAGAGCTCAGCATCAGTATGGAAGCCAGTGGAGGTCCTGTCCTCTGTCCCACACTTACATCATCTAGCTGCCTCAGAGAAGGCCACTAAATTGCTGTTATTGATGACAAAAGCTACAGTCAGTCTTAGTACAGGTAGCGTGTTCAGATAGTAAGCTTCATCAGCTGCCATGCTGTCAGAGAACCACATGAGACAGCTCAGCATTCACCGTGAGCTGAACTTCATTCAGGCTTCTTCAAGCCAGCTTAGCCAGGAGGCGAATGTGAGATGAGTTTCTCATGTACTGAGAGTTTTTGTGTGTTAAAAATTATAGCATGATGCAAACAAAAAATGCATTGACTTATTTTCATGACTGGATGTCGTTGTGCTTTGAGGGTAATGGGCAGGCATTGCTTTCTCTTATTGCTGTTGGATTAAAAGGTGCCGCTACAGTATTGACTTGATAATCTCACCAGGTATTCGTGCAGAGCAAAAGAAGAAAATATATTTTATGGCTCACAAATTGATTTACATAAACCAAACAATCTGCTGGTTGTTTGAATGCAGAATATTCTATTTTGCTTATTGGCCACAGGGGCAACAATCTCACATCGTTGATGCCAGAATTCTGCTTTTCATGCATTCACTCTGAAATGACAATAGACGTCAGCCTCTCAGTGTTTAGATCTGCTTCATTTGGAAATCTTTTAAGTAGTAATAATAATGTTTTGAGGAAATTGAGTGGAACACTAAATTATTCTCTGATACCTAAGTTCAAACTGTGCAAGGCTAAAGAAGCTGAAAATCAATGCACTTTTAAAGTCATTAGAGATCATAAGTGAAATAAGTCTGTGTTGCTTTAGCTAACCTTTTAGTGTGCTGTGGTTTTATTATAATATCAGCCTGAATCTGCATTAATTTCACAGTCTTTTTCTCTAAGAAGCCCAAGGGTGCATGATGAATAAAATGTAAATTTGAGAAGGCAGTGTTTTTATTAGTGAAAAGGGCAATGAGCCATGTAGTTGGAGCAGTGACCTGCATGGTGGCCAACGCTGGTGCAGGAAGCAGGAGCAGGCACTACAGAGTCTAGTTATTTTACAGCACAAGAAAAAACAGGCACGGAAAGTTTCACTGGTCTCCCAGCAGATATTCACAGAAGTGTACATTGTCTTGTGTATGTTAGAACTAAGGTCAAATCTTTGATACGTTTCAGAAATTGACAAGTCTCAAAAGTCTTGAAGATTTTATGCAAATAAATGACAATGCACGTTTTTTACATTTTATAGCAGTATTGAATATTCTCGGAGTAATGGAGCATTTGTTTTTATTAAAATTAAAAATTGCTAAATAGTTTGCAACAGACTTGGTATATTTGTATTTGCATAGCAACAATTTATGTTTATACATACATATATATTTTTTAACTACCTGGAAGGGATTTAGATACATTTGTTTGCTGACATTTTGAGCTCTTGAAATTTATTTGCTCATTTGCCCTTGGTGTGAGGATTTTCTTATTTGCCCCTTTAAAAATCAATGATAAAATTTGAAATACAAAGCCCTGATGTGTGAATGCCCTCAGTAAAGATCATCAGTCAAGGAGAAAATGGAAAATAGCAACTTTTTATTTTAGAAAATGCAAACTAGATCTTGCTGATTTCAAACCCGGTGGCTAAAAACAGTACCCAACTTCCTCCCCTAGTTTCCATTTAAAAAATAAACTAATAAATAAATAAATCTTTCTGCTTTGGTCAGATTAGCAAGTCAGCACTGTGAATAAAAAGCAAAATAAGATAAAACCAGAGAGAGAAGTTGTTTTATTTTTATGTACTACTGAGAACAGTGTCGTCTTGTGGCAGTTCTCGTAGACTGTGTTGGTTTAACAAGCGTCCAACCCTTTTGTCTTGTTGTTTTTTGTCTTTCCTGCTCCCTGTCCCCTTGTTTCCCACAGGCTGTGCGTTTGTCACATTTTCTACAAGGGCAATGGCACAGAATGCAATCAAAGCCATGCATCAGTCTCAGACCATGGAGGTACTGTATCATCTGCCCTTTCTTTGTTTTCTTTGTGCAAATGATGGGGAATGGTAAAGCAATTCTCTCCTGTGTGGATTGTTCACATGACAATCACAGATGTAAACTTTCACCATCTCAGTTTTCATTCATTCATTCTCATTCTCTCCTTCTCTCTCTCTCTCTCTTTCTCTATGCATTTTTCCCCTAATGACTTGAAATGCATTTAGGAAAACCTTCCACTTGCTCTCCAGTTATTTATTTGAGCCTTTTATTGCAGTGGCACGGGTCCTGTGATGTAAAGTCGTGAGCACTTTAAGCAAAGTGTCATTCTGGACCTAAAGAATCAAATACATTCCCCACACCGGGGTCGGTGCGGATGAAACAGTAACAGCCTCCCACCCCAAATTACTGCTTGCCCTGTGCTAAGTCCCAGGGTTCTTTCGTTTGTACAGGGTCAAGTTATCTTCCATCTAGTCAAACAGCATTGTGTTTTTACATCAAGAATGTTGGAGAAAGTTAATATTTCTCCCACTGCATTTAACATTGAAAGTGCAAATTTGGAAAATAGGATTTGTCTCCTTCCTTAAAAAGATGAGCAATAACAAAGAAACATAATAAAGGCTCAAATGTGGTCTCCTAATGAGAGATCATGGCTTTAGGGGAAGGTAAACACCCTGGTGTGGATGCACACCCACGAACCTAGATAGATGGCTCTGTACTTTTAGTCTGTGATTTGGGTCATGGCCTTTCAGAATTTTGCACAAAAGCATTCCAAGAGTGATATGCCGTTACTTCTTCTGTATTGTCTGATAGAATCATTTGGGAGTGCATGTTCTGCTGTATTATGTATACTGTATCTTTGTGTATGGGTGATCTTTTCCGGAGGTGGCCTTGTGGTGTTATCTGAAGCTGTGTTTTCATATTTTGAAAAAAGATATTTTCAATTTTATTTAATATGCAAAAAACTTTTTTCTTGATTGAGCTTCTGTTTTCCCCCCATTTTGTTGGGGTTTTATTTTTTTGTTTGTTTGTTTTTGTTTGTTTTTTGCAATGCTGCATCTCCCAAAGCATGCTGGGAGCTAAGTGATCATTATGCGTCATGTTTTGTGGGCAACTTTTTTTATAGTGAATCAAAAGGTGGGTGCAAAGGGGGGAAGGAGTGTGCATGGCATTGTCATTCAGTGTTTACTGTACTTTTCTGACTTGTGATACCAGCATTGCAAAGCCTATTGTCTTTTTCGAACATTGATCTTGACTTTGATATTCCTAACATATCTTATATAATCACTGTGTTTTCCTTTCAGTGCAATGCATTTTTAAGACACTCACAACCCCCTACCTGAAGGCAAGCTCAGGTGAAAATCGGGCATGATAGGCGATAATGAGCAGGATTTGGAATGTCTAGGAAGCTAATCTTGTCTGACACGCAGTTACACGTGTGATGGCGTTTTGCTTCCCTCTTTCTCTTACTGAGGCCGCTCCATTCCTGTGGATTAGCCTGATTTCCAGCCACATTTTAATCTTCAATTCAGTTTGAAGATTAAAATGAAACTGCTGTTAGGGGCAAAAAAATAAAAAAGAAAACTCTTTACTTGTATTATCTTCCATATACGCGTTTCATTCTTATTTTTATTTCTTGTAATTTAGTGATGTGTACCCAAATTGGTCTCACCTGAGATAATTTTGAACCTCAATTCTTCAGTGTTTCTGTTAGAAACATTACGATCCCCATTCCTTCCCTTGGAGCCCCCCCAGTAATGCTCAGAGAGCCACGGACAACCCACGGGAGACCATGTTCCCCTGTGTTCCTGTAGAAGGAGGACTCTGGATCATAAAGCAGAACTGGGCATGAACCAGGCTGAGAAACAGTAGGTTCCCATCATGTAAAGAGTTGGTTTGACCACTGGGGCATATTTATTCCTAAGCCTTTGATCCTTTATTATTAATATCTCTGTTATTTGAAAACCAAATTTGGTGTTTAAAACTGGACATTCATGCTTACACAGAGGGGTCCTCTGACACTTAAATTTCTTGTTTGGTTTTTTTTTTAATTGGCATTTAAATAGGAGGTTATATATTATGCAGTCACATTATAATTGTTTGACTAACGTTGTTTATTTTTAACTAATTATATTATTTCCAGGACTCTGGCATACATCTTTAACCAAGATGTATTACCTAATTCACAATGATGTGAATGTTGAAAGAACAAGGTCTTAAAAACAATTAATTTTATATCGTGCCTTCTGTTTCTCCACTTGCCTTCACTCTATCCCTGCCCTGTGTTTCATGGTTTAAAAAATCATTTTTAAGCTATAATCATTGGCCTAATTTTCTGCTTTTATATCATTTTTACTATTTAAGGAAGAAAAAAATAGATGTTCTGTTAGGAGAGATGCTATAATTTGTTATGGAACAAATTTGATGGAACAATGACAACCCTTTTCCATGCAAAACCCCCTCTCTACATAATCTTCAAAGTATGTTGCTCTCTTTTAAGTGAAGTACTGAAACATGGAACAGATACAGAAAAAAATGAATTACAGATTTTTTTAAATGATGGAAATACTATTTTTGTGCAATTTACTGACATTTAACATTCTGTACCATGACTCTGTCTACCAGAGCTGAAGACCAGTAGGCTGGAAGTTTAACACTGAAATATTCATCTCATTTTTCTCACTTTTTTTTATTAACAGACATGATATCCTCATGTATTCAGAACTGCATCCCCAGTAACTACCCAAGGTGATAAGGAAAAAAATGCGTTTGTTTTCCAGAAAAGAGAAACATGACCCAAAGGGAATGGAACAGAGAATCACATTTAAATAGGAATATAACATTTCTGAGAGGAGAGAGAGAGAGGTCTATTATCATGCTGAGTTTCAATAAAAGTTTTTATTTTAATCACTTGGGTAGAATTACTTCTTTATGCCTCAGCAAAATTGAACAGCTTTAATTGTGATGAAACGTGTAGGCAAGCCACACAAAGGAGGAGAAGAGGCTGGGGAAGGAGGGGGAGACTTCTGCTGAGTTACTTACCAAGTGGCAAATGTTGCAAAGGTGCTTTGGAAAGGAGGTCTTCGTGCTTGGGGTGTTAGGCCCTTATTATCCCTGATGATTTTATCTAGCTCAGTAGTGAATTCTGTGACCTTTAGCCATTTCTTTCTCACTACCCCTACTCCTTGCCTTTTAAAGGAAATTAAAACTGAAAGAAGCTGCTAGAATGGTGAGATTCATTAGGGAAAGAAGCCAAGTGGACTCCTCCGTCTGCTGTTCACGGTCTATCTTCTTTGGCTAGAATGTGCTTCTGTTTTTTGGGTTTGCACCAGCTCCAGGGATGGCGGGTAGCACAGGTGTGCTGAGGGAAGAGGCCTCTCTGAAAACGTGAACGGTTACTTTGGAGAATGCCTGTGTTCTCTGAATATCTTCTGCCCTCATCCTCAAAACTAAAATGAAGCCCTTTTCCCTATGATTGCTGGGCCGATAGGATTGTCACAATCCCAAAGTTCACAGATACATAACTGAAAACGGGAAAGAGTAAAAGATAAATGAATGAGAGACATGGCCATTCCCGTTACAGATTCTCCCCTTTGTCCTCTGTCCACCTGTGGACACGGGCAGACACACAAAGCCAAGTCTGTCTTTAAGACGAGCAGCCTGAGAAGCTCAATTAAAGAACCTTGGTAAGGTCTGTTGTCTGTAAGGAGGTCCTGCAAGGTTGAAGGAAGACACAGGAAGAGAAGGAGAGGCAGTTACTAATCAGAGCAAGAAAGCAAGTGACTTCACCGACCACCAGATCCCCCAAAGAAACCACTGGCAGTGTCTGGAATTTTCTGTTGATGGTACTATTCAGAGAAGAAGGAATATCAAACCGTTTTAAACCATTTCAGCCCATTCCATGTGCTCCAGGCTAGTGCAGAAAGGTAGCTCCGGTGCTGAGTGTCGTGAGCGGATTCCGCCAGCCTGTAACCCCCTCTCCACTTTCCAATGTGTCTGACCACAGGGCTGCTCTTCACCTATCGTGGTGAAGTTTGCTGACACTCAGAAGGACAAAGAGCAAAGGCGCCTCCAGCAGCAGCTCGCTCAGCAGATGCAGCAGCTCAACACTGCCACCTGGGGGAACCTGACAGGGCTGGGCGGACTGACCCCACAGTATCTGGCGGTAAGTGCTGGGCAATGCCGGCGTGGTCTTCACCCGCTGAAACTCTGCAAACTGACTTTTCCCCTCCCTACGCTGAGGCATTTGTTTTCAGTACATTTTCAATCTCGGGGAATTATTGAAATCAGCATTTATGCAGGATATTTTTCCAAGTTAGATTGATTCTGTTAAGAACAGGACTAATTGAATTCCTGCCTGATGTAGGAGGGGCAAAGTCCCACAGGTTAAACTTCTAACTCGTCTTTGAAAGGCACCCCAAGGCCCTGAGTTAGAAGACATGCAGCTGATGATGTAACGAGAGGGAGGCCGCTGGGCTGGCTCATCCCTGTCAGGTCAGGGTCTGCGCCAGCAGGACCTCAGGTGAAATCTCCCAGAACTTCCATTCCATGATCCTGGCTCTTCGCAGTGGAACCAGATTGATGAAATCAAGTGTTTCTTACTTCATCTATTTGAAACCAACAAAATTCTATTCTATTTCAAGCCCCAGCAGACCCAGTTCTCTCAGCCATTCCTTACATCTCTTGGTGTCTGAACTTGAGCTTTCTGGTTGTTTACTCATGCTCTCCATTTCACTTTGTGTCTTTATTGAAACACAGTGACCAGAATTTAAGACAGTCCCCCGAGCGAGATCTGAACAGGACGGAGTAGTAACCTCTAGTGTGGACTTGAGGGCATCTGAATGGAGCTTGAGAGCGGCGTTTGTAGTAACCATGGCAGATGCGGGCTGGAAGGCAGCCAGTACTCCAGAGATTTTATTTTTACTCGAATTACTGCTAAATTGTGCTCTTCTACCCTATTTTTCCACTTTGGAACATAAGTGCTGGACTTCACATTTATTAATATAATTTCATATTGTGAGTTTGGGCCTTTTATTCCAGCCTCAGAGAGGGTGTCTCTGTGTGTGTGTGTGTGTGTACCCCATGTGTATTGGGTCTTCATTCTGTCATTTTACATTTTAACTATCCCTCTTGTGATCCTGTCACCCATTGGCTTTACTTTGTAGCAGAAGTTGTGCTTTTGTGTCAAATGATCCTCCCTATTCCACCTTGGAAGGTGAGATGATCCTGCTTTTCGGACATATGAGGAAAGGGAGACTCAAAGAGGTTACGTAACGTTACCCAGAATCAACCAGCCGCTAGTGGTTGATGGGACTTGAGCCCTGCGTGTCCCGCCGGCTGGCCATACTGCCTCTTTGAGGACTCCGGGTGCTGCTGCGGGTCACCTTCATCTTTTTAGCTGCCCCACCCCCAGTGCCCAGTGCCCAGTGGGGTCTGGTATATAATAGCTCTTCAGTACATATTTGATGAATGAATGAGAAGCATCCTTTTCCTGTCTTCCTCTGTGCTGCTAGCAAAAGCATTGGCTCAGGTTCCCATCACTTTCTGTCCATTTCTCTACCTTGTCCACGAAGATACCATGAGAGATTTTGTCAGCTGTCTTGCTAAAATCTATATTTGCTCTGCTATTATTTTCTTGACTAATCAGTCTAAAAATTGCTTTAAAAGAGAAATGAGTCTAGCTTGACTATGATTTGTTTTTCACAAATGTGTGCTGTTCAGATGCTCACAGTCGATTGGTTTAATTCTGTGTACCAGAATTTTTGTCTGAGGCTGACATCACGCTCACCTTCCTGTACTTTCTAAGAGTCCGGCTTCCCCCATCCACCATTTCTGAAAACTGAGACACGTGTCCACTCTGTCTTCTAGCACGTCTCCTGTGCCCCCACGGCTCACAGAAATCTCCGGCACATGTTTCTGGGACCACATCTGCAAATTGTTTGTGTAGGTGAAGGAGAGGAAATCTCAGCCTGATTTATAGAAACATGTTTTTAGAAGTTCTCACTACGTTTCCCTCTGCCATGGGTGATTCTTTCTTGGCCATGTTTGTCCTACTCCCTTTCAGCTGAAAAGCCCTTTCTCTGAAAGAGCCCTTAGCTGCCTTGAGTGATAGATTCTGACCCTGGCTCACCAGAGGTTGGTTATCCATGGCAATAATCCTGGGTGGTGGTTTAATGACACTCCAGGTATTTCCACTTACCTCAGTAGGTGCTATTAACTCCTCTAAACATCTTCAAGGCTAGCTTAATTTTTAAAATTTAAAAACATTGAATATGAGGAGGAAGTTGCAGTTGATAAGCGCAAGAGAATGAGAAACCCAGCAAATCAAACCGAAATAAGGCCTTGCTATTACAGTGGGCAGTCCCTAGCTTTCCCACCCCCTCTTCCCCGCTCTCTTCCTCTTTCTGTGTGCGTGAGAGTATGTGTGTGGGCAGGGAATGGAGAGGGATGACTGAACACAGACTTTTCTTGGTTTTAGTATAACCTGATAGTGTGAAGTCCCATAATACCGTCGTACCTGAGGCTTGGGTTTCAGTCAGCCAAGGGTCCCCAACCCCTGGGCTGGGTACCAGTACCGGTCCATGGCTTGTTAGGAACCGGACCGCCCAGCAGGAGAGGAGCGGCAGGCGAGAGAGCGTTACTGCCTGAGCCCCACCTCCCGTCAGATCAGCGGCAGCCTTGGAATCTCCTAGGAGCACGAACCTGGTCTAAACTGCACATGCTGAAGGGTCTAGGTTGCGTGCTCCTTATGAGAATCTAATTCCCGATGAACTGAGGTGGAGCAGTTTCATCTCAAAACCTTCCCCTCAACCCCTGGTCTGGTGGGAAAATTGTCTTCCACGAAACTTCTTTCCCCGGTGCCAAAAAGGTTGGGGACTGCTGGAATCAGCCACTGATAGTTCCACACTGCTTGGCGCTGTTACCTCAATTGAGATCCATTTTCGAGTCATATCCATGTGTAGGGTTTATCATATCAAACTGGAAAGACCTGGACTTCCCCAGAGGAACGGTGTTCTGGATTGTTTCACGAGCCCCAAATAAATTCTGAAAGTTTTGTTTTTTTGTTTTTTTGTTTTTTTTGAGACAGAGTCTTGCTCTGTTGCCCAGGTTGGAGTGCTGTGGCACCATCTCTGCTCACTGCAGCCTCCATCTCCCAGGCTCAAGCAATTCTCATGCCTCAGCCTCCTAAGAAGCTGAGATTACAGGCATGTGCCACCACACCCGGCTAATTTTTGTAATTTAACTAGAGATGGGGGTTTTGCCATGTTGGCCAGGCTGGTCTCGAACTCCTAACCTCAAGTGATCCCCACCCCCCCCCCCCACCTTGGCCTCCCAAAGTCCTGGGATTACAGATGTGAGCCACTGCACCTGGCTCTGAAAGCTGTTTTTAAAATAGTGAATTAATCTTGTTCCTCCTGAGCACACAATGTGACAATATTTCAGTAATAAAATAAATGTGGTAAATCTGTGTTTCTGGTATCCATGTACATTTGAATATAGGAGAAAACTATCTGCTTGCCCACACTGCTAACTGCATCTGTACTGGTCTCCCTTACCAAAAAGAAGATCCATAAGTTCAGCCCAACACTCAGTCTTTCACCTAAGTTAAGCTGCGGTTCAGCTGAGTTGGACAAGTCCAGCAGCACCCCAGGGGCTCCATGCCTTTATCTTGTGGCACCCACTCATTCTGCATGGCAGGAAAAATGCAGCCCTGAAAGCACTAGTGGAAAATGCAGACTTTCTCATAGGTATATTAATGTTTTTGAAGATTGACATTTACAACGCGTGACTTCGATGTACATAGCACCAGATAGTTGTGAGTTTTGACAAGCTGTATGTTTCACTCTGCAGTGAGGACTTTTAAAATGGCTGCCCATTTGCTTGGTCATGTAGTGGTGGCTGCAGCTGTACGGCTGTGAATAGATGCATTCATGTTTGTAGTTACCATGATGATCTTTATGTTGGCACCAGAGTCAGTGAACCAATGTGCTTCTGATGAAAGATGAAGAAAGCTGAACGGTGCTGGAAAGTAGAAGAGAGGGAGGGAATGGACCCTGATTGACAGAGATGAGTTACGGTAACTGCTAGACTACAGAGAGAGATAATTAGTCACGCTATGTTGGTTTCAATAGATCTAACACCTGGTTGTTAAAAAGAGTAAATTGATTAATTGTTTTAAGGCAGCAGTGTTAGTGAGTTTCCCCAGTGTTTATGTTTCTTAATAGAGATTGGACATGAATATGGATTTACAGCCCCAGCTCTGGGGACCTTCAGTCCATCAGTAGGGAGTAGCAACCAACCCTGGAAATGCAGAGTAAACTGAATTTGTCCCCAGTTTAATGAGGGAGTTACTTTGCTCTCACCGTCTCCACTTTGCCCTTGTGTGTTCATCCGCAGCTCCTGCAGCAGGCCACCTCCTCCAGCAACCTGGGTGCGTTCAGCGGCATTCAACAAATGGCAGGTAAGTCAGGAAGCACGCCTCTCCTTTTGACCGTGCTATTGTCAGAATTTGGGGTTGGTTCCGAGGGCAAAGACAAGAAGCAGGGGAAGAGAACCAAGAATGATGATCAGACTTGTTAGCTTTCTGTCTTTGGTGTTAACGTTGGAACCGCCTGCTCTGAAGTGTCTCTGTTATTTCTTAGGTTACCTACCCACCTTCGCTGTGCATGACCGCTATAGAATGAAGGGGCTGAGAAATCCTGATTGGCATCTATATCAACAAATGATTATATCAACGACTCTCTAGTCATTTGTTGTTTTTATAAATAAGATTGATTACTGGGGGCTTTCCATCCAGATTCCTATATCTAGGGCAGCCAAATGATTGACAGCCCTCTAAAATTTTAATAATAGACAGTCAATAAAAATGTTCTGACCTCCGTAATGAAAGCCAGGATTGCAGGCCTATCTTTGATGCAGTTTGCAGCCCCTTGATAACGACAGACAATTAACAGGGTGCCTTTTTACCGTAGTGCCCCAGTTGACAGAATCATGCATCAGAAGCTTTTATGTGAAAGTGGAATCTTTGTTCTGGAGAAAATCAAAGTGTGACTGTATTTGAAAGCCAGCTCGTTGAAGGATTCCTTCTTCTAATGAGCTGCGCCAGTAGTAACTGAGGTGTGGTGATTAGCGAAAGGTCACTCCTGCCGTGCCACCTTCCGTGCCGATTTCCCTACCTAACACGGGGCCAGGGAAGGCAGCGAGCGCAATAAATCAGAACACAGGTGCCCATTAACCTGCCGTGAGGAACGGTCAGAGAGCCTTTTCCTTGTTTCATTCCAAAAAGGTGGGGGGAGAGAGCAAGGAGAACAGGTTTTTGGCATATTAGAACCAAGCACGGTTTGTGTTAATCAAGGACACCCTGAATCAGTGCAATGAAACCTACATGTGCAGAATGAAGCGTTTTTTCGTTGTCATCATGAAAACTCCTTTTTTTCTACCTTTCTGTTTCTTTTTTTAAATATGTATCCTTGGGGTTTGTTTATTTTTTTTTTCTTGTTTCACTTCAAATGAATCTGGAAAAACTTTCCAGGGGGCTTCTCCCTGGGTGTGGTGTGTGATCGGCAGCCCCGCCGTTGTGGCCCGAGGCTCCTGGAAGCTCATCAGCTGATGGTCTTCCTTGGCCTGTAGTAAAAATACTGCTGAATTCCTCGTTGGGCTTTAAATCCATTGGCACTGCCACCTGGTTCCGTTGTAACATAGCTTTTGGATTATTAGAAATAGGAATAACTTGATAGTTAAATCATTCAGCAGCATCTTTACGAATATGGTTTGGGAAGCTGGCCTTGGAGCTAAGAATCACATTGAATGGTTAATTTATTTTTAATTCTATGAAAGGAGCTGGAGAGAGAGAAGTAAAATATTCAGGGGATTTTCTGTGTTTTAAAAGAGAAAACCTCCTGATTGCAAGCTCTAAAATAAATGCTAAGATTTGTCACACTTTCAGCCCACGGGAGATTTGCTTTTCTCGCATAGTATGGACTCACCAGGATCTGAAATTAGGGGCTTTCCTTAGAGGTGGCCTCAGGCTTTCCTACCCCCACAGTTGGATTATGCAGAGAAGGTCACTGGGTCCTGAGGCTGCTGCCGAGCGTGCTGTCCCGGGTGGACAGCGTGCCCTGTCATCTTTCATTAGGATGTGTGTGCCTGTGCCGCACCAGCCACAGGTCAGGATGCCAGCCCCTGCACGCTCTGCGTGCTCATTTGAAAACTGAGGGTATCTGGGAAGTCACCTTACAAGGTGCCGAGGAGCAGATGGCTAATTTAAAGGCAATCTGTATGTGCTCTGAGCCTCCCAAATTATCCATTTCTTGAATCCTCAATGTGTGAAATTCAGCACACTAAGTCCTCACAGGCTAGGAAATCAAATGCTGGACAGGCCATTCCCTACCATCATCTGGAGTATTCAGAGTATTTGGAATATTCACAGTCTTCAAGGTGTAGCTGTCGGGCTCTGTGAAGGATACCTTGCATTTATAGGGATCGTCAGGTCTCCTCTTCCTACGTATTTGAAGTATTATGGCTTGGAGTACTTTCTCCACCAATGAAGAAAAGTTTATATGGCCTCTCCTACGCTCTTGTCTTGTCCCAAAAGTAGGGCTTAACTCTGTCCTTGCCATCAATCTGTGCACATGTTATGGAGTGACCATGGTGAATGGGCGATAGAGGTTCCTTCCTAGGAGAAACTTTCCCAGCTTCCCCGAATGTGAGAGGGGCGCCTCTCTCCCGAATTCCCCAGAGCCCTTTCCTCCCTTCCCTCTGCCCTCACCTCCCTGGATGCTTCAGGATACTCTGTGGATACTCTTCCGTGCTCCAGGAGAGCATGGCCCCGTGGCTGATAGACTCAGCTCTCACCCCTCTAAGAGCTGCTCATGAGTATCCTCGAGTGGATGAGTGAACAGATTTCTAACTCAACAGACATAAATCCCCAGTGGAGCTTAAGTTAAATGCCTGGTTTTTAAATTAAGAAATATGACTTCAGCAATATGTATAAACCAAAGGAACATTAAACTAATGATAGTATCTTTACAAATGAGTTGTTGAGGATTTGGAGATAGTTTGTATAACATAAAACATAACAAATACAGTAGAAAGCATATGGTAGTGGGATTGAAGAAACCCGAGAGGTTATTTATCCCAAACACCACCTGATGTTACAGTGCTTATTGAGTGATTGATACTGTGTCCTACGTAGAGGGGGCACATAAACAATTCACATGTAATTTTTCTGTATTACATTGACAGATATATATAAAATGATCTCTGCATCTAAAATTCAAGCAGTCCAGCCTGGAATACTATCACCAAAAAGTGAAAACTGATTTTAGAAACGAATAATATTTTGTTGTGAACAACTCTGAAAACATACTGGTCGATGAGGTTTATAGCTAGAGTCTAAAATGCCACATTTATATGGGTGAAACATTTTCAGCTTCAGGAGAAAATAAAACCAAAAAAAAGAAAGAGAAATTTTAGACGACTGGATCCTAAGTAGTTGCATGTATAAAATTGAATGAGACGTCAGCTATACTTCCTTTCCCAAAAAATCTTACCATTTTCCCTTCAAACTAAAAATAACTTCAAGTGTGCTTTATGGTTTTTATCCAAGAGAACCTTTATGAAATATGGAATTTAGAAGCAGAAAATGGATTAGGAACATACCTTTATAAATTGACGGCTTTTATATCTACTTTTTGTGCCTCCTTGGAGTTGGTTGGTTTTTATTTTCCCTCTTAAAACTTCTAATGAAAACTTGTCCATTTCTCTCTCAGCGGTGATATTTGTTCAGTGAATTTCAGAAATCTCAGAAACTTGGGGTCTGAGTTTGGGCTGAGAGCTGGGATTTTTCTTGAAAGAGAAAGGGAGTAAGAGAAAGTGTCTTCTCTGCCTTTAATTTGTTTATAACAACTATCAACTCAGAAGATCATATAACAGAAAAACAAGGGGTAGTGTTTTACCATTTTGTTTTTAACAAAGCTCCTTTTAAAAATCATGCAGCTGTCCTCATAGCAAGCTAAGGACGTGACTACCACTTTGTTACTACATTACGGTTGGAAAAAGGGAAGATGAAAAGGTTCAGTGAGTAATGTGAGACCACAGCACTAGTCAATGACCTAACAAGGATTAGGGTATAGAATTCCCAAATATCACAACAACCTGATGAAGTAGGGACTCTAAGTTAGCCCACCGCATGGCCGGGCAACTGAGGCTTAGAGAGATGAGCAGACTTGTCCAAAGGCACTAAGCTAGTAGGTGGCAGGACCAAGCTTCAGGTCCGGCTCACTGATGCAAACCCAGGCTGGCAAACCGTGCTCTGTGTCTCAGCCCCTTGAGGTGTGTTTCACGGCCCCCACACTGTTAGGAAGCACTTCAGAGGTGGTAACAGGAAAGCTGCCTCCCTTCATCCTGGAAAACATCTCAAGTTTATCATGAGTGAGTTTTTCTTTTTAGGGGGGATTTTTTTCTAGGATAAAGAATTGTTACTAAACCAGTTCCAGAGGTTCTGAAGCTGCGGCGGAAGTGTCTTTTGATGAACGGGAGGAAACTGCTTCGTTTCAATTCTGATTCTGAGTAAAGCAAGTAGTAATTCCCTTCCAGAATATCTGGTCTAAGTTTTGAAGGTAACAATAACATTATGGAGTGCAAATATTTGCTTAAAACCATGAAGCAGCTCTTCATTTATCAACTTGAGATCTGTTCTCTTAGAAGACTGTCTTGGTGTCTAGCACGAGTGGAGAGGAGGGAGACATTTGCAAAAACAGTGTATCGGAGGTCTGAGAATGTCGAATTGGAGGCGCTCCCGGAGTGGTGAAGTGTGCTTGGTACATCCACAAAGACTCACGCAGAACTTGGTTCCTCCCCAAGCTGAGTCTCCAGCAGTCCACACTGCAGGCCTTATGAGAACGTTCTATAACCACCCATCTGTCACTTTTTAACAGACCTGATTGGCAAGCACTTGTAACAACTGACATCTGTTCATGCTTATTGATATGCAGATTTATGGTAATTGCTATGAACAATAAGACACAAAATTACCTAAGGTGAACATTAAATTAAATTTTCATGCCCTTCTCCTTATAAATAATTTTTTTTAAATCTTAAGTTTCAAGTAGGCATATTGCGCATCTGTTTGGTACATAATTTCTTCGTTTTGAGAAGGATATTTTTCCCCAAGTATTGAATGAAAGTTGAATCCCTGTATTCTCAACTTTCTTTGCCATCTTCTTAGCCCATCGTTGAGTTCCTAAAACTTACTGAAATGTTTTGCATGTTCAGTCACCCAGTTTATTGCCCCTGGTTCGAGAGGTGCCCATCTGAGCAGAGTGCTTCATGAAGTCAAATGCAGTTTTTCTTCTCGGAAAGGAACCGTTTGCCAAGCACGCGCCCTTGCCTCTCGGTCTGGTGCCCTTTCAGGATGAGCGTGTGGGATAAAGTGTGACTTGGGGTGCAGACTGAGGAGGCGCCTGGGAGAGGGGCTGAGATGGGGAAAGGACGGGGCACCCACATACCTCAGAAAAGAGAGAGCGACAGAGGGGAACCAGAAAGAGGACTTCCGGATGAGCGGAAGTGAAGCCCGCTGTTAGTTCTGGGGAGGAATAAGGGGAGTTGCAGGAGAGGCCCCGCGCCCCATCCAGGAGCAGGCCTGCGCCTGACACCTGTGCCCGAGAAGCCTAGTCCGGCTAAGAAGGGAGAGGGAACCTCTGTCCTCACCCAGATGCCCTGGCTGGTGTCCGCACATCAGGCCAGTGCCTTTCCCCAAAACCGTTTCTCCCCCGCATAGGAGGGGAAGGCAGGCAGGTGCGATGTCCACGTTCCGGGTGATGGCGCTGTGGCTGTGGATCCATCTGTGGTGGGAGGAGCCAAGACATCAGCCACCAGGGACGTGCATCGTTGCCAGGGAAGGGCCCAGGAACACTGGGGCCAAGACAGTCCCCACGCTCTTCTCGCCCCGGGTTATTACTGTGGTGTGACAGAGCATGAGATGGTCAGTAGCACCTAGAAGATCGGTAGGTGCAGGGATGTCCATGGGGCAGGATGGACAGAGGACACATGGGCCACGGCCTCTGCCTGGCTGAGTGGACAGAGGCCGCTCTGGGTGGGGGAAACGGTGCCCTCACTGCCCTCCAGCCTCAGTCCTGGTTGGAGTGAGATGCCCAAGAGGCAGGGGAGGTCCTAGGGCTCTGAAGGGCTGCTCTCTAGGGCTTCCTGGCGCCAGCCTCCACTGGGTCCTTCCCCATTGACACCTGTGCCCAGGAAGGTAGCTAAGAATGGAGGAGCTCGGGCTCGCCTGGCTGCTTCTGATGCTGGCGTGCGTGTGCATGCCTGTGTGCGTGTGTGTGTGTGTGTGTGTGTGTGTGTGTGTTCAGAATGGGAGGAGGCACTGTCTTCATCCTCCCTCTTCTCCGTGTCCTCACTCCTCAGCTCTCATTTCTTCCTGATGGCCCAAGTCACTGCCCCACCCCCAGGCTGTCATGCAGTGATTTTCCACTACCACTTGTATCTCTTTCAGATTGTCAAAAGAGGTCAGAAGTTCTTCAGCTTTTTAGGAGCTGTCACCAAACACATTTTGCATGCACATCACACACATACTTTTTCATAAAATGTCAGAGTTTGTGGAGACCCTGAACCCTGTCAGGGACCTCTGCCTCAGAAGCACCAAGTTCAGGGGACTGACGTGGGGTAGATGAAGAACACGACGAAGAGCACTGAGGCAGCGGCGGACGAGGGTCTGTCTGGTCACTGAAGCAGCTAGAGCCAGTGGTTTGTGGTATCTGGGATTCTGGGGATGGATGCAGAAGGAAATCACGTTAAGAAACTAGGCCAGGTGTGGCGGCTCACACTTGTAGTCCCAGCACTTTGGGAGGCAGAAGCAGGCAAGGATCACTTGAGCCCCGGAGTTCCCGACCAGCCTGAGCAACACAGCAAAACCCCTTTCCTACAAAAGTTAGCTGGGTGTGGTGGCAAGCGCCTGTAGTCCCAGCTACTCAGGAGGCTGAGGTAGGAGGATCGCTTGAGCCTGGGAGATGATGGCTGCAGTGAGCCATAATTTCACTCCAGCCCGGTGACGGAGCAAGACCCTGTCTCAAAAAATATATATGTATGTTAATTGCCAAATTGATTGAGAGAGCAAAACGTAGTACATAGTTAAGTAGTTAGTGGTTAACTGGTTAACCTAGTTCTTAGTTACAAATGAAGACACGATCACAAGTTCATTCCCAGACCTCTGGCATTCAGGCGAGTTGCACAAAATTCGTACTGGCCCCAATGTTCTTGGACCCTGGGGCAGGGAGCGGCACTTCATGGTGAAGCAGCGCTAGACTGGAATCCGCCCCAGCTCTCACATCTGTTCATACTGTTGTGGTGGGGCGAGCAAGGCCACTCCCAGTGGATATGGGGACCTGGGGGGTAGAGTTAACTTCTGGGCCCCTGTCACATTGCCTTTCGAAACCCTATGCTGGACCAGCCCTTTCCTTCCTCTTCCTCCCCTCCATCCGTCCCTCCCTATCCCTCCCTCCCTATCCCTTCTAAACTTCTCTCAGATGCAAAGTTTAAGGAAGGAAATGGATACCAATGCACAGGAGGAGAAGGAAGAGGTCAGAACAGCTCCAGATGGGGACCGAGAGGGCAGAGGGCAGCCCGTGGGTAGGCCAGGCTGGCAGGGAGAGGACAGGCACCCAGGGAAGGGGCGGGGCTCTCTCAGGGAGTGGCCCTTGGAGAATGGCTCATGGTGTTTTCACCTCTTCATGCCCGTTTCCTCTGTAACATGTAGGAGAGTCACAATGCCCACACCACGTGGATGTGTTAGGAACCCTAGTAGCAGAGCACGGGTAAGGCACTGAGGAGCTTGCCTGGCACGCGCTTTGTTCTTGCTTCTGCTGTCATTGTCGTTTAGGACAGTATTATTGCAGTTATTAGTCTGAGAGCTTCTTTTTTGAGCTTAACTCTGCACTAGGCATTGTTTGAGCTTTCTATGTGTTGACCCATTTAATCTCTTAATCCTCAAGAGGTGAGTTCTACTTCAGTCGCACTTTACACTTGAAAACCCCAAGGTGCAAACAGGTAACGAGCTTGCTCCAGGTAACAGGCTGCCAGTAAGTGAGGCAGAGCCAGCTTTCAGCCCGGGTCATGTGAGAGCAGGACCTGAGCTCTTGCTGACCAGCCTGCGCTGCCTTCGGGAGGTGGTGGTGATTGCTGCTGTTATCCCTGGTGTCACCAGTGGAGCTTGTGTTCCAAGAAACGTGAGGCCCTGCCTCACCTCTGGTGTACAAGCACTTAACTTCTTTTCTCTTTAAGACATGGGGTCTCACTCTGTTGCCCAGGCTGGACTTGAACTCCTGGGCCCAAGCGATCCTTTAGCCTCAGCCTCCTGAGTAGCTGGAACTATAGGCACACGCTACCACACCTGGCTTATGAGCACGCACTTCTGAAAATAAGAGTTGGGAGGACCATGAAAGCCTCATGGGTCAGCACACAAGGACTAGGAGAGGGACAGGCTGGAAGGGATGACATCTCTTGCAGCTTCTCAGCTGGGCTGTGCTTTGCTTTCCTGTGCTTCTCTACCATCCCCATCGAATCAAAGACTTCAGGGAGGATTTCATTCTGAATCTGGGCCTATTTCAAGAAACTGATGAACTGGTGGGATTTCTTCCCCACTCCCTGACATCTCCCTGCTCTGATATCCAGCAATCTGCTCGGGTACACAGACTATCATGTTTTCTACTTTATCCTCAGTGTGTTGCACAGGGTCTAGCCCATCATGGCCACTCAGTAATTACTGGATGGTTGGATGGATGGATGATGGGTAGATAGATGGATGGGTGAGTAGATGATGGGTGAGTGAGTGGGTGGATAATGGATGGATGGGTGATAATGGATGGATGATGAATGGATAGATGGGTGGATGATGGGTGGGTGGGTAGATGGATGGGTGACTAGATGATGGATGGGGGCTGAATGATGGATGGGTGGGTGGGTGGATGCATGGTTGATGGACGATGGGTGGATAATGGGTGGGTGGATGATGGATGGATGGATGGGTGGGTCAAATATGTCCTGGAGGGGGACTCCCTGGCCTGAGCCTAGAATGGTGGCTCTGCTTGTCATTAATCAGTGCCAGATCATAGATGGATGTGGGGTAGATGATGAGTGGATGGGTGGATGGTGGGTGGATGATGGATGGAGTGGATGAGGGATGAGTGTGTGGTGGGTGGATGATGGATGGAGGGGTGGGTGGATGATGGATGACTGTGTGGTAGGTGGATGATGGATGAGTGTGTGGTGGGTGGATGAGGGATGAGTGTGTGGTGGGTGGATGACGGATGAGTGTGTGGTGAGTGGATGAGGGATGAGTGTGTGGTGGGTGGATGATGGATGAGTGTGTGGTGAGTGGATGAGGGATGAGTGTGTGGTGGGTGGATGATGGATGGAGGAGTGGGTGGATGATGGATGACTGTGTGGTAGGTGGATGATGGATGAGTGTGTGGTGGGTGGATGAGGGATGAGTGCGTGGTGGGTGGATGAGGGATGAGTGCGTGGTGGGTGGGTGAGGGATGAGTGTGTGGTGGGTGGATGAGGGATGGAGGGGTGGGTGGATGATGGATGACTGTGTGGTAGGTGGATGCATGGATGAGTGTCGTGGTGGGTGGCTGAGGGATGAGTGTGTGGTGGGTGGATGATGGATGAGTGTGTGGTGAGTGGATGAGGGATGAGTGTGTGGTGGGTGGATGACGGAGGGGTGGGTGGATGATGGATGACTGTGTGGTAGGTGGATGATGGATGAGTGTGTGGTGGGTGGATGAGGGATGAGTGTGTGGTGGGTGGATGAGGGATGAGTGTGTGGTGGGGGATGAGGGATGAGTGTGTGGTGGGTGGATGAGGGATGAGTGGGAGCATGATGGACGGAGGGGTGGGTGGATGATGGATGGATGGTGGGTGAATGATGGATAGATAGATGGATGGGTGGGAGGATCCATACCACAATGAGGGATGGATGGGTGTGCTGATGAAGGATGTGTGAGTGTGTGGATGATGGATGAGTGGATGATGGATGGATGGGTGAGAGGATAATGGATGGATGGGTGGGTGGATGGATAGATAGTTGGGTAGATATGTGGGTGGATGGATGGATGGTGGATGGATGGTGGGCGGATGATGGATGGATGGGTGGGAGAATAATGGATGGATGGGTGGATGATAGGTGAGTGGATGGATGGATAGTTGGGTAGATGTGTGGGTGGATGGGTGGATGGTTGGATGGTGGTTAGATGATGGATAGATGGGTGGGAGCATCTATTCCACAATGAGGGATGGATGAGTGTGTGGATGAGAGATGGATGTGTGGATGACGGATGGGTGGGAGGATAGTGGATCTGTGGATGGATAATTAAGTGGATGGATGGATAGTTGGGTGGTTACGCGGAATGATGGATGGATGGATGGGTGGGTGGGTGGATGGGCGGATGATGGATATATGGATGGATGGTTGGATGGATGGATGGGCAGATAGATGGACGAGCAAATATGGATCCGCCTCCTTGATTGGTTCTGACTAACTCTTCTTCTCTCCTTTTGTCCTCACATCCCTCAGATGCTGGGGATCACAGTGTCCTCTCCTTTCCACTCTTCATCTCAGCTTCCTTGACTCATAGTTTTTCCTTTCCTTGCAGTCTGGCTGTTGAGCAGTGTTAGCTATGCCCCCGTGTGGTGCCTCAGAGACTCAGCCACTCCCCCTGGACTTTCCAGGCGGCAGCAGGGAAAGGCTTAGGAGAATGTCAGAAACTGTTGGATGGTAAAGTGTGTGGAGGAGAAATGAAGAGGAGGACACCCAGGCCCTTAGCCCTGGATCCTAAAGGAGCGGGCAGTGGAGAGAACCTGAGTGCTGTCAGCTCAGTTCCAGGACCTTTAGTGAATGTCAGTGGGTGAGAGAAGGACTAAACATGGGCCCTAGTAAGTATCTGTACAGTGGATTAGTTAATGATTGAGAGGAAACAGCCAATATTTGATGCTGTTGTAAATACCAAAGAACTAATAAATAATGGGGAAAACTAAAACCTTGGCTAGCTCTGTACAGACAATACTCTTCAGAGCAATTTATGTAAATGTCAAACTTGTCTGTTACCCTGTTTGTTTGTCTTACATAGATTTGCTCATCACCTACTATATATATTGGTGTGTGTGTGTGTGTGTGTGTGTGTGTGTGTGTGTGTGTGTGTGTGTGTGTTTTTACATGGACTTGAAAATGAGTAAGACATAATTTTTGTCCTAAAGGAACTTGGTATCTGGTTGGGAGGGCAAGAAATACATATAAATAATGTCAACATAGGGTATGATGAGAGCCACGAAAGAGTTATAAACAAACAGATAAAGAAATTTGCAGCTAACAGAGAAAGCGTGTGCATTAAATGTAAACCCTGTCTCCTTAGGAGGAGGCTATGGGATGGGGCAGAAGGCTCTGCCAAGGCCCAGGAGGGTCTCCTCCATGGCTGTGAGGCCTTGGCCAGGGACCTCATGTCTCTGACCCAAGTGGGCCAGCTGAGCCAGGCCATCAACACAGCTCCATCACTGAGGCTCCTACCTGGGAGGGTCATATATGTCCTGGAGGGGGACCCGCTGGCCTAAGCCTAGAATGGTGGCTCTGCCTGTCATTAATCGGTGCCATATGCATATTGTAGGCTTTGATTTTGGTGCTAAGCCCTGTTCTTGTGTGCTCAGCCATATGTTGGTGGTGTGGTCTGGTCATGGTTCACGTTAGAGGAAGCACACATCATGAGAGAGCCCAGAGGGCATGGACAGACCTGCGTGAATGTACCTCATTCCTTGCAAGACCTCGCACAGCCTTGGTGCTCCCTCACACTCAAGTCAAACATGCATTCATGTGTTTGTAGGAAACAGCCCCTTGCTGGGGCCATGTTGGTCTGCAGTAGGGCCAGGCAATTTGCATATTTCCTCCATTTTCCTAAAGTAAAACTGAAAAATGAGACCAGGGCCTCTCAACACCCACGTTCTCATGAATATGGCACTGTGTGACCCTTGACGAGAGAAAACCAGAGAGTGCTTTCTTTTGATTATGTTCACTTGATGAAGCAAGGTTGCCAGAAGTCTGCCCTTTTCTTGCAGAAATTCACAGGATTACACAATACTTCTGTCCCACTTTCAAGCATCCCTGTGAAATAAGTAGGTTTTGAAAAGCAGGTGCTTGGCTTTCAACCTAAGCCAAAAGGTCTGGATGTCTCCTGGAAGAAGACAGAGTATCACTTTGGACAAAATGCAAATCCATTTAGCAACCAAGACAGGAGGAACTTTTTTCTAAGTGGAAATGCACCCTGGTTGAGGAGGCCAGGGCAGAAGAGTGCTGTCTAGAGCACTCAGCAGCCAGGCACTGAGCTGCGCCCGTGGCTGGGGGCTTACACATGTATGTTGCTAGAACATTCTCTCATCCCTCCACCAGCGCCCCTACACACACATTACGGAAGCAGCTCTCAGGGCACTCTCCCTAAAGAAGACTGAATTTGCTCCGTAGATATTGATTAAGTATCTGGACTTAAGACCAGAGAAGAAGGTAAAATGAAGCTGAAGTCCACCATCTTTCTATCTTCAGTTCCTCTGTGTAGGGAGAGAACCATTGTTTCATGCTTCTCACATGTGCAGTCTTCTGGTAAAGTGAATCATAGAAACATAATTTGACCATTCAGAGAACCTTTGGACTGAGAGATGGAAGCGGGCTACAGGGAGAAAAGATAGTTAAACTAACTATCCGGTGTAGACACCAGGGCTGAGCCCACCCCTAGATTGTTGCCCCAAATCTCTCAGCTAATCCCACTCTTATCTTCATGCTAATTTTCATTTCTATTTTTTTCATAATTTTCATGAGTCACACATTTATTCTAGTTAAAGTCCCTCTTTTAAAATATAAATCGCTTTAAAAGGTAAATACAAATATTTTACAAATAAAACTATTAAGGTGCAGCCATTTCTATTCAGTCATTCTTGTGTTCATCAAATATGAAATTTGAACTCCCTATGGACACATTTTAGGGTTCACACTTGAATCCAGAGAGAGAAGTTCAATGGCAATAGCAATAACAAAAATAAAAGGTGACATTCATTGAGCTCTTAACGTTGTGCCAAAGTAATTTGCTTTCATCATCTTATTTAATCTGCACAACAACCCTTCAAGGTGGGGTTCAGTTAATGCTGCCATTCACTGTCAAGAAATAGATTAACAGGCTTAGAACCCATACCAGTTCAGCTTCCAGTAAAATGTAGTTTCTTCTGAAATACCTCGTTTTGAGGGACTGAGTTTACCTTGAAGCCCTTCCTCCAGCTGCTGCCACATCTCACCATGTCTTGGCAGCTATGTCATAGAAGCTGCCAGTCCACAAGGCCCTACTGTGGCCAGTCAGCACTGAAATCTCTCCTCTTTTCCACTTATCTCTACAGCATGGCAGGAAGGCCTTGGGCTGAGAATACTGGTTAGCGAGGGAGAAGCGCAGGCTCTGCCAGGGAGAACTACGGGGTGGGATTCAGGCTCCTTTCTGGGTATGTGGTCTCTAGGAAGAGCAATTGCATCAGAGAGAACTGAAGGAGAGGTGGCCTTGGAGGAGAGGGCTGGAGAGCCCAGCTCCCACCCAGGCAGGTGACCTTGCACAGGGTCGTCTGCTCTCATCATGTGTCCTGACGATTTGATGAGCCTGCTCTTGTTTGGAAACTGTAGAAGTGTGAGGCCTGTTGCTGAAAGTAACTTTCTCTTCCCTCCACAGGCATGAATGCTTTACAGTTGCAGAACCTGGCGACGCTGGCTGCTGCTGCAGCTGCGGCCCAGACCTCAGCCACCAGCACCAATGCAAACCCTCTCTCTACCACGAGCAGCGCCCTGGGAGCCCTCACGAGTCCCGGTGAGTGTGGGGGGTGCTCTTCCCTTGCAGGTGATGCAGCAGGAGTGGCAGGTAGGTTTCCGTGCCTCCAGGTGCGAGGGTGAGGCTAGACGTGTCCAGGATGGAGCCGGGATACTATACTGGGCTGCTTTATGTCATTGGGTTATTTTATTTTTAAAAATGGTCAAAGTTCGAATTTGTCTTTTATTTTCCATGGATAATATGCAAAAAAGTTTTCAGTGAGAATCCACTGTGCAAGCCGTTCTCACACATTCACTCTGTTTTAAACACTAGTCCATTCAACACTAGTTAAGTTGTTACCACTGTGAAGAGCCTCCGTCTCTTAGTCTTTCTTTGTCCTGCCCTTTTCCAAAAAATAAGACAATGTAAGAATTCTGTTTCAAAATTCCTAGTCATTCCCATGTCACATTTCACAGCAACTCCATCCATCACATTTGATTTTAAAATCCACGGTCCAGTAAGGAACATGTTTGCTCATTTCTGGTCAGGCTCTGGGGTGTGTCATTTAAAGTCTTTTTTTCTTCACAAATTTTGTTGCCTTGTTGTTCAAAAGCAGATGCCAGTTGTCTTTTCATACAAGCCAGATAGAATGTGGTTGCTTAGATACCGTGATTTGAGGTTTTGTTTTGTTTTTTTTTAATTTAAAAAAGTCGAACGTTTCACTGGCTTTCCATCTCTGAGTTTTCCAGACCTCAATAGATGGTCTCACCTCCTTTTCTGTTACATGAAGGAGATGGCCTGGACAGTTTCCAAGCTTCCTTCTAACTTTCAAAATCCCATGACCCCCTATCAGCTGCGCCCCAAGGATTAGCTAAGTGTTGGAAAAACGTTAATGAAAAAATAGCTTCAGGAAACACACATCGAAAACTACAGCCCACTCCACGCTGGCTGTTTTAGGGCTTTTGACTTGAGGGAGGAATGAGGCAGGTTCCTAGAGCTGGCAGTTCTCAAAAGAGCAGTTGCCCTTTGTCTCTGCATAAAACATTGTGTATCTAAGACATTTCACCTGGGGGATTGTTTCGAGGGAGAAGTCTGAGAGATGTTTAGGAGAAGCTGGTGGATTTCCCTGTAATGTGCTGAGATCGCATGGCAGGTGTATTGACTTCACTGTGTACAGTGTCTTCAAAAACATACCGTTACTGTATGAGGGCCTTATCTAATATAATAAACACTATTCCTGAAAAATCAACTTTGTCACCCTTAATTTCAGGAAGTTAAGTGATAGCTTCAGTGCAACACATCAACTTACTTAAGTAAATCCTGTAACGATCCCTTTTGAGAAATAAACATTTTTAACATGATAGATTTCCCCTTCATAAAAATAAGTCATTTTTTTAAAAACATGAAAATTAGACCCTCCCAACTTAGATTTCACAAATCAGATTAAAATGTATTTTCTTAAGAGGGATTTTTTTTCTCCCCTGTGAGCACTTTGATTACCCCAAAATAGCACTGAGTATTGTGAATGCATTTTGGAGCATCTTCAGTCCAAAGGAGGCTTGACAGTTTAAGAAGCCAAATGCAGAAGCAGCTGTCGGCTGATTGGTGTAGCTAAGATAACTCAAAAATCATATCCCAAAAGCGCTTTGTGGTGTGAGCAGGACAGATGTGCTGCCTACCTTCGGGAGTCCTTCAGTCCTTCAGGGACTTGGACAAGAAGCAAAGCAATGAGTGTCAGATCTGTGACAGAATCCCACTGAACAAGGGGAAAGGGGACTGGAGGAGGTGACCCCTCTCTCAAAAGGTGACCTTTGAGCAGAGACCTGAGTTCCGTGACGGAAGCCATGGCGCGTGTTGAGGCAGAGGACAGAGCCAGTGGGTGGGGGAGAGCGGAGTGGGGGCTCTGTGGTGGACCGCGTCCGTTCCAGCCCACGTTGGGAGGAGTGTGAGCTTGTTGCAACCTTCTTAAAATGTGGGCTACTGGAGATCATGCCACTGCACTCCAGCCTGGGCGACGAGCGAGACTCCGTCTAAAAAAAAAAAAAAAATGTGGGCCACTCAGACGGTCTAGGGCGACGGCCTAGGTGTTAGTCGGAAAGGAATTTTAAATGTATGTGACTATTTTCAATTTCTTCCTGAGACTGCAGTGGAGGAAAATGTGTTGTGGGATGAGCCTTCCTCCCTGCTGGAGTCAAAACCACACCAGCGCAGCGTCCTTGCCTTGACTGCTCTGTAAGAGGCTTCTTGCCCTTCAGAACACGCCGCTCGCTTAGGTGTCACTGAGAGCGATTTTTCTCTTCTCTACTGAGGAATGCTTTGCATAATAACTGAAAGTATTTTATTAGAATCCTAAAGTGTAGCAGCAGCAATGATTGAAATCTACATTTCAATTATTTTTCTTAAGTGTAACTAAAAAATCTGATGTTTAAGTGAAAGTAAATTATTTGTCTAATTTCCATCAGGGACTTTTTGAAAGTCACAGAAAATGTGGTTAGTAGAATTCATGAATCTCCACTTCATCAAGGCAGTTTCCTAGAAGATAAAAGGGGTTGAAAGCCATTCCCAAGGCCATTGCCATTATTTACTTTTTAAATAATAATAAACTGGGCATACTATTTGGACCATGAGCCAGTTCACTTGCCCTGTGAGTTGAAGGGAAGCCTCATCCCATCTCTCCTCCACAGGCCTGGGGTTTACCCTGTTTTTAAGCGTGTCTCTTAAGCTTCAGACAAATTCATCTGGAAAGCAAAGGGACAATTCAATCCCCCAAACTGTTAATTTTTTTAATAATTGTAAATTTATCATTTCAATTTTGCATACCCAGGAAAAGTCTCCCTACAGCATTATTATAAATGATTTTAAACAGTCTTGGCTTTAAAACATGAAAGATTAAGTCTTAATTTTTGTTAAAAAAAAATCCCCTCAGGCAATAAATAGGTTCCTTTGTCTCATGGCCTTGAAATAAAAATTAAAATAGTTTAAATTGCCCATGGTTAAAATAAGTGTTTCGTGCAATTATCAGATGGTAGTGAATAAAATTAGAAATTAAATCATGAAAGAATAAAATCCAGGTAAGTGCATATTATGCCTTTTATGAGTTTCTCACGGGTCTTTTGAAGCCTAATTTAATCATGTTTCTTGTCTTTTATTTTGATATGATCATTTTACCTGTGTTTACCCCAGTCTCCTATTTAGTTAATTAATTCTTGGGTCATTTATTGTTACCCAGTTTTTAACCTGTTTTTGACGACTGTGTCTCTGTTTATGCAAGAGGCAAATTGTCTAGAAGGGGTGTAGCTAGGTATTAAAGAAGATAATGTTTGTCTTCCATTCAGCTTGCAAATGAGTTAGTTTTGTCTGGTAATTTTGAGCGCTTGAAGAGACTGTTACTGTTACCACACATGAATATTTTTTGGTATTTTTTGGTCTAAAATGTATTGCATTCACGTACCATGTTATTCCACTGAACTTCTTCTGTCTTCTTCTTTAAAGAAAAGGATGCTTTAAAATTCTCCAAATGCTTCTGTAAGTGCAGACTTGACCAAGTACACATCCAGGATCATAGACTGGTTCTTCCCATGGTACAAGGCATTCTAAAATGCTAGGAAGCATTTTTTCATTCCCACCATTGACCCTTCAAAGAGTTATCACTTTGAATTCTGGGTGGTATTTTCCCCATCTTCAAGGTATCCCCAGCTTCCTTGAAGGCTGTGACAAACACCAAGCTTCAAGGAAATGGTGACACTTCCTCTTTGACTATCTGAGGGTAACAGAGATTGGAGTGTTTGGACGTTGTTCAGGCATTCCCTGCTCGCCTCACATAGTCATGACTGATAGACGGTGACTGTTGTTCTTGCACACCTGTGTCACCAAAGCAGCTGAATGAGCAGTGGGAAATGAGAATTCACCCTTGAAGTTATCCTGTGGCCTTTCCATTGACAGGGGGCTTTGTCGCCACCTTCAATAGATGTCTGCATTTGCATCAGAGGAGAACTTGCATTAGGCAAAGAGGTGTGATGCATAAGCTGGTTTAACCCACATTTCTGAGCCTTCTAGTTCATGCAGGGCAAATACATAAAAATGAGTTGGGGCCTGCACTGCCCCCTCCAAGTGGTGACATGCACGAGGCAGTATCACCAGATGGGAAAGAGTGGGGCAGGAGAGAGGGACAGACAGGTGGACAAAGAGGCTGTCTCCCCAAGACTACTGCAGTGGTCCCACATCCTCAGAGTCGAGAATTAAACTTGCCCCACAGACCTGCCCTTCCCGCTGCCTGCCCCACCCTGCTAAATGGATTGTCCCAATGGCTGGTGTGACTTGGTCGCTGATCTTTGCAGCTGGCCCCTGGCTCAGCTGCGTGCCTCATCAGCCCCTCAGTTCTCCCTGTGAAGCATCATTTCCCTCCCAGGCAACAGGAGCCTGGAAGAGACCCTTGTCTTCTCTCTCCTTGTACTACTGGAACAGCCTCCAACTTGGCCCCTTCCCTCTGTCTGTCTTACACACTGTTGGCAACTGCGGTCTAGACTGGAGTGAAACAAACTCCTGAGTGTGGCATTCAGGGTCCACCTGGACCACCTCCGCCCTTCCATCCAGAATCCAGCCAGCACACACTCGCCCAGATCAGGCCACCCCCCGTAGCCCAGCCACGCCGTCGGCCTTTACGCCATTATTCTTGCAAGCTTCTCTACCTAGAACATCTCCCCCATTTCCTCCCACAAAAATCTAATACATCACTAATACTTGTTGCAGTGCTCATTCTTGAGAATAGTGTGGGTGGGTATAAAAGCGTTTCTAATGCACATTATAAAAAGTATAGTTTATGCTGCTTCTGTAATTTACACTATAAGAAGATTTTTGGCGGTAATTAGTAAAAACTGTTTTCAGTAACCTACTACTTATATGAATCAATGCAAATGCCACCTCTACCATGAAGCCTTCTAGTTAGGATTGATCACTTCCACATCGTATTGCTGAGTAAGTTCCTAGCTCATTCTAGACCTGGGGCAGTGCAGAGGTTCCTGAGGAGCTGTCGGGCTGCTTGAGGCCAGGGGCAGAGAGGGCTGGAGTGTCAGTGCTGGCCAGGCGTTCTGCAGACGTCACCCCTCTCCTGTGCTCCCAGGGCACACTCGGCCTCCCTTCACTAACACTGACCCTGTTGTCTGCAGGACGGTGATGTGGGCACTCACTTTGTGTCTTGCCCTCTAGCCAGTGAGTTATTTTAAAGTAGGGAAGGTGTGTTATTTACTCATAATTCCCCCTTGCATCTGGAGCAGCACATCAGACACAGGCCCTCAAGTGTTGTTTGTTTTTTTTTAAATTCAGTGGAATAGCGAAGCAAAAATTGTCAAAGACAAATGTTTAAGGGCCATCTGTTCAGTCTAGTTTAGCGCACACGTCTCTAAGGAGGCAGCTAAATCCCTCACAGTGACGTTGGCAGGGTCAGCGTACCCACCCAGTTCACCTGTAAGGCGTGCCTCTGCCTGGATCCCTCAAGAACCAAACCTGCAATTTGGTTTCACCTTACAGGTGAATACTCAGGTCCAACAGGTTTCTGAAGAATAAATCAGTACTAACTTACACCAAAACAATCATATGAAGCAGTCTTTTTATTACAGGGGCAGCTTATTTTACAAATAGTGGCTTTCAAAATGTTCTGATGTCACGATATAGAATAAGTACGAGTCTGGTATCAGAGAAGGGCATTTCACCTTCAGAAGAACCACCTACTCTAATGTGTGCTTTTGAAACATAACATCATGGCAGATCATCCCCAGAAAGTGCCCATTAGCTCTGTGTGCACTGCTAAGTCCACGTAGTCTTCCGGTGCCTGCCCACACTGCTTACATAAGCAAGGTCCCATTTTGCTTTTTAGAGTATTTTTTACTTATACCACACTTATAAAACACAGGGCATTTTATAAGTGCAGGGGACCAGTTATTCCTGGGAAGATGGGCTTAGCCTTTACCGTCCTCTTTTTCTTCTTACACCCATCTTTTGTCATTGTTTATTCTTAAGAGAAAGAAGGAAATCTCAAGGTAGACCATTCTTCCCTCCACTAGCGGCTAAGTGTCTCAGTCAGGCAGAGTCAAGCCAGTTGGTAAAATGGGCTGTTCATGTGTGGGTTTCAATCTGTCACACGGCCAGGCGCAGTGGCTCACGCCTGTAATCCCAACACTTTGGGAGGCCGAGGCGGGTGGATCACGAGGTCAGGAGTTCAAGACCAGCCTGGGCAAGATGGTGAAACCCAGTCTCGACTAAAACTACAGAAATTAGCCAGGCGCAGTGGCAGGTGCCAGTAATCCCAGCTACTCGGGAGGCTGAGGCAGGAGAATCACTTGAATCCAGGCGGCAGAGGCTGCAGTGACCAAGATCACACCACTGCACTCCAGCCTGGGCAACAGAGTGAGGCTCTTTCTCAACAACAACAACAACAAATCTGTCAAACGTCTTTTCATTTTTTATTTTAGCTTTCCTATGGTGCTGACAGTCAAACTTGTTTACACTCTTATTGCTGCAGTAGAAAGAGCACTGACCTCCCGGTCTTTGCTCATTTCCTGCAAGTTTCAACATTTTACACTGCTTTTCTGAAAATTGTCTTCTTTGCTCGTGACATTATGGGGCTCACTTTATTTTCATTAATGTTAATGGAGTCACACATTACATAACATGTTCTGTAAATAAAATGACTCTGTAGTGACTGTCACCTCTTGATAGATTTTTTTTTTCATTCATTCAACAAATATGTATCAAGCATCTGTGTGCCTGGAACTGTTCCAGCACTGGAGACACATCAGTAGACAAAGCTGATGAAGATTCCTACCTGCATGTCCTTTCTCTTCTAGCATCAGCTTTTAAGAAAAGCGTCATTTTACTGAATTCACACCATGGTAAAAACAATTTGAATAGCCTTTAAGTATAAATTGTAACTTCTACACTCTTAAAACGTCATAACCAATATTTTGTATATCTTACGTTAAATTTTGTGAATGAGACCAAGAGTGGGAGAGGGAAGCTCTCTTCTCTCCTTTCTTCCTCTCCTTTGAGCTGTACCATCTTTCTGTGTGTTTGGTGCAGCAGAGAGCTGGGAGTAGGGCCCCCCTTAAGGTAGAACTGCAAGTGGCCAAACCAGAAAGCGAGAGGGTTTAGCCCTTGGCCCTGCTGCTCGGGCTGCTCTGTGGCTTCTCCACAGAAGCATGACACACAAACCAGGTGGTTTGAAAGTTCTTCGGCATGTAAGACTGATACTGTTGGGGAGAACAGTAGTTGGAAACAGTGTGTCTGCCTAGTAAATGTCCTTTATTTGGCATTGATCATCCTGCTTCTAAAGGAGGAGAGAGCATGCAAACCCCTCCCACCCAGAGGGGTTTTGAGGGCCCCTTGTGTGGAGGGAGTTTGGGTGTGCAATGAACTTCTGCCTAGTGAGTGGATGGATACTCCAGGCAGTTGGTGCAATGCCCCAACCTGGAGCAGGCTGGAGTCTCTTAATAGTCTGTAACCAATTTAAAGCTTAATAAAGCTGCGCAGCTTTGGGGGTAGAGATATTTACGGTTCACCACAGAGCCCACGCTGGGATTTATGCAAGTAGATTCCACCTGTGCCCTGAGCTCTCCTTGGCGGGTGCCTTCATCCCCGGGATGGACAGATCCTCGCGTGCATCTTAGGGCTGCCACTCACCAAGCGCATTGTTCCTTGTTTTGAGTGGGCTTTTTAACATGTGCAGACATTGACTCTAATTCTTCACGTATTTGCTTTTTGCTGTTGGTGGCGCTGGACTCTGTGCTAAGTGTGATTTGTTTTTAAATATTGCTTTGCACACTCTTCTGTATTGTGGCAAATCCACATCAGATCCCCTTGTGATGTTTATATGAGCTCAGGCTGTGTTTTCTGTCCAGCCACTTAATGAGATTTTTTATTCTCACTAAATCACAGAAATTTTTATTTCTGTGATCTTGTATGATACAAACATGTTATCACCACTAGCACTGGTGAAAAGCATGTGTTGCTTAATTGTGTTATATTAGGTGGGAAAATCAGCAAAGCTTTATTCTAGTCACAACTTCCCAGAAGCGTATACTGTAAGTTCCATTTCTTCAGACTTGAAAGCAATAAAATGGAAATTTTTAGTTCAGATGTGGTTTAATCCCGAGAACCCGTCACCATCAACTAGATGCATTGGCCACCTACAAACACAAGCAAAATGTACCGACCTGTACAGCACAGACAGCAGGAAGGCAGGTAAGGTACAGGGGTCAGTGACAGGAGAGATTCTGCCCCAAGGAAGTAAGGGAAATTTTAGTAGAAGAGTTGACATTTGAGCCAAAATGTTCAGGGTGGGTAGGATGTTTAAAAGTAGAAGCAGAATGGAAGATACATCAAATGTGGGAAAATGCAGAAATAGCATTTAATCAGCAAATGGAAGTTCATCTCACTTTTCACAAGCATGGACATATGGAAAAGGATGCCCACCGGGGACCCTGAGAGCCGGGGCTCAGGAGCTGGGACTTTTCCTGTCAGCAGTGAAGAGCTATTCAGGACTTTAGGCCCAAGAATGATAGACTTCCTGTGTGACTGGACTGAGGCACCCATTTGATGTGAGGGAGAACAAAAGGAAAGGAGGAAAAATGATATGGTGTGTTGGGCCTGGGTGGCCAGTGGAGCATTGCTCTCAGTTGTGAGGGGAGTTGAGGAGGAAGCTGTCATATAAAATGATCGGACGTGGCACATGGAGAGCTCAAGTGCACATGAACGGACATTCCGTGAAATGTGTCCAGCAGCAGTTGGATGTGTGACCATCAGGCTGACCAGAGCCGGGAGCTGCAGAGTGGATTGAGACTGACCTGCAGAGGCCAGGCGGGCTGCCCTAAGCCCGGGGAGGGGTGAGGTCATCAGGCCAAAATCACCAGCAAGGCAAGGCGGGGACCAGGTGCAGAAAGCCTTGGGGTCTGTGCTTGTGGAACAGAGGGACCAGGGGATGGAAAGGGAGCTTTCTGGGTAGCACAGTGTCAGGGGAGCCAAGCAGGATGGGGCTGGAGGAGGAAAAGGCAGAAAGAGCTGACTGAAGTTTGAGTTGGGGAGTGGGTTCTCCCCAGACTGGCTGCTTCACTGCAGTGGTTGACAGTTTTGCAGGCAGTGAGAGAGGACACAATTCTATATGACATGTTCATGAAATGTGAATATTTTTAAAAATCTGTAATGGGGCCAGTCATGGCAGTTCACACCTGTAATCCCAGCACTTTGGGAGGCTGAGGCAGGAGTTCCTTGAGGAACTCCCTGAGGCCAGGAGTTTGAGACCAGCCTGGCCAACATGGTGAAACCCTGTCTATACTAAAAATACAAAAATTAGCCGGGTATGGTGGTGCACACCTGTGGTTCCCAGCTACTCGGGAGGCTGAGGCAGGAAAATGACTTGAACCCAGGAGGCAGAGGTTGCAGTGAGCCGAGATCACGTCACTGCACTCCAGCCCAGGTGACAAGAGCAAGGCTCTATCTTAAAAAACAAAAGAACATGAAAAATCTGTAAAAGTACTGGGGTCACTAGGGGAAGAAGTTTTTATGTTTTTGTTTTAAGATGGAGAAACAAAACATATCTGTAGACCAAAGAGAAGAGCCAGAACAAAGGGAAACAGGAATAGGCCAATGAGAGCTGAAAGCTGGACTAGAGTTGGAGGGCTGGCTGGAGGGATGAGCTCAGCCTCCAGCGTGTCCCTCTCCTGTGGCGAGGGGGATGCTGCCTTCTGAGGGTCGGGTCACATGTCATCTCCCCCTGGGAGGAGCCCCCACAGCAGCACCCTGGCCTTGTGGTGCCATCTCGACCTGGTACTAGCACACAAGCCAACAGGCACAAATCTGAATCAGGGCTGAGTCAGCAGGTGGTGCAGCCTGAGGGAGGGAACACTGACCTCTGTCAGGATTGGGGAGGATGCCAAGAATTTAGGACAGAAGGGTACTTATATCACATATGGGCCAAGAATTGATATATCTGGGGCTAGAAACAAAAACTCATGCCGGGGCAGAGGTTTAAGAAAAAGTCAACCTACAGAATGTAACAGAGGATTTCTAATTATATTTGTCTTTCTAGAGTATGTAGACATCTTGATCAAGAGTCATTGGAGCAAGTAATGTAATCTTAATTATTTTCTCAGTTGTGAAATAGAATTAATTGCTAATACTCACTTTTCTTGTGGAAACATTGAGGTTTATATATACACACATATTTATATTTATGTAAATGTATACTGGTGCTTTTTTAAAAAAACGATGTTTAAGTATCATATATGGGAAAGATCGAATCATTATTTTGGAGTGATACGAAATACCACAGCTCTGGAGAACAGAAGACTAGGTTAAAACTAGAATGAGGGCTGATGATGTTTAGGTTAAAACTAGAATAAGGTCCGATGATGTTTAACTGGGTTAAAACTAGAATAAGGTCCAATGATATTTTTCTCTGAATCTCTTGCCTTTGGAAAACAAGTATCTCCCCACCTTTCCTTTAAAAATTAGGATGTAAATACAGGGAGAAGACAGTTTCCTCACTCCTTTCTGCTTTTGTGTTCTGCTGTTCAAGGGAACGGGGAACTTTCTACCTACCACAAATGCCACTTGAGCTCCTAGAACCAATATCCCCTCCTTACCAAATACAAAATGGTAAGACTGGGTTAAACAGAGCAAGACTGCTGTGTCCAGGCAGGATTTCTGCACTAAGGGTCAGGCCTGAGGCCCCTGGGGAGTTGTTGGTTTGTATCTCGGGCCACACGGCGGGTGGTGCGTGCTCTGCACCGGGCCCTTGCAGGGGCAGCAGTCCTACTGAGTCCACGCGGCGCCCCAGCGAGCCTGCAGCCCTGCTGTGACGTCCCTGGGCTGCGCCAGGTGACCTCTTGCCCCCTGCTACCATTGGGGTCATGTTGCCCAGAGGAAAATCTGCCTCCCAGAAATGATGTTCTCTCCATCTGGACAAGCTGCCCCCCAACCCCCCCCAGGAAGGCCAGACTTCAGACAGGCTGTCAGTGACATGGTGACATGGGCCTGCTTTCCTGAGAAGCCCCTGTCCTTGCCCTTTCTCTTCAGAGGCCCGAGCCCGGTCCCATCATTAAATGCTACAGCTGCTGTTATGTATCCAACTGCCTCTTTTGTGATCCACGTGAGGAAAACAGAGGCCTGCAAGGGTCAGTGGTTTGCCCGGGATGTTAGTGACAGGTGAAATGACAGCGCCACCGCACCACGAGACAGTCCATATTCTAAGCAGGAACTCCTGGGATCCCAGAACCGTATTTCTGGGTTTCGCCAATTACACATTGTCCCCCTTGTAAGGAGATCATCAACATTTTTTTTTTCGGTCCTTCTCCGGGCCATCTGTAAAAACAAACATCTGGGGCCAGCTAAAGGGGAAGTATATACTTTTGTTTCAGTAAATCATAAGCAAAATATCATTGGCAGGGAAAAGAGGTTTGATTTTTCCCTCTCATTTGCCCCGCTCGTAGGAGATCCCTGTGTACTGCCTGTATGAATGGACTCTTCCAAACTCATGGCCCCACACTGCCTTTATGAGTGCCCGTCTTCACGGGACTGGGGAAGATGCTAAAAATTAGGCCGGGTAGGGAGGCACCCTGGTTTATTGACAACCCATGAAGTAGATTTCTTAGATCCACTAGACAGAGCTTCCACAAGCCTTTGGGAATGAACATTAAAGGAGTGGAAACAGGACAGCTGCTTTGGACGTGAGGAGCAGGTGCTGGCCCCTCACTTCCCCGCCTTCCACATGTGTGCCACCGTACAATAAAGCCTCAGCAGTCGTTCTGAGTCCAGACCCGGCCCTCTAGACTGAATTTTCCTCTTCCCAGTCTTCCTGAGAACCAGTAGTGATGACTCTTGCCCAGCACTGCACCAAGCCAGGTGGCATCAGCTTCCTTGGGAAGCAGAACTGGCAGCAGAAGAGAGGGGCACCAATGTCTCTGGGGAAGGTACCCTCTTCCAGGCTGGGAGTGTGAGGTCACACCTCACCACTGCAGCGCCCAGTGTCACTTTCCAACCCTACCTCCTCTTCCTCAGTCACCCCGCCCCTCCCTGCCCAAACTATCTTCGAGGGACTAAATTAAAATGAAAGGTGTGGTTATTGTGGAATAATTAGGCCTCACGGGGGGAGAGGCGTAGTATATTAATGCCCCAGGGTTGTGATTGGCTAGTAATGCTAGTGCCTGTGTCATGGCTTAATTATCCTACTTCCTCACAATCTTTTCCTGCGCAGTTGGAATTCCGCATCCAAGCTCGTTTGAGGCAAAACGGCGACCGCGGGCTCCAGTGTCCTGAGTATGTTTGGTCAATGCAGGCGATTTTCTCCGTGTTTACAATGATTTTATTTCCTAAACCACAAAGCCACTGTGTTTTCACTATCTAATTGTTCTGTGGAAAGTGTTTAACGAGGGCACCGAAGGCAAATTCTTGCTGTCTTCTGTTAATGTTGTTTTGTTGCAGCTTTAAAAAAAAGTATTTTGCTATCCAGGAAGAGTGGGGAGTAGGGTTAATATGAGAACATTAATGCATTTGTTCCTAGAAAGCAAGCCAGTTTCTGGGACAGACTTAACGCTAGACATGCCCTGCAGATACACTGAGACCAAGACAAGGGCGAAGGGGAAAATTCATATGGGAATTATATTTTAAATAAAGAACTGGCAAATGTGAGAGATGGATAAGCCCCTCATTGCTGTTTTTCTCCCTTTCGTCGTGGATCTGGAATCTTTAGAAGGATGGAGGAATACCCAAGTTCCTCCGCAGGCAGCCTCACCCCAAATCAAGAGTCTTGTTCACCATCCCACCTTCTACACAGAATAAGAAGCCCACTGGAGCCCCTATGCGGGCCCTGCTCCCGCTCCCCACCCCGCTTCCCCCCCACTTCCCCCCTCCCCCCGCTTCCCCCCCTCCCGCACCCCACCCTGCTCCCACCGCCCCCCCGCCACTCCCGCTCCCCCCACCACTTCACCCCCCTCGCTTCCCCCCCTACCGCACCCCCCCACCCCGCTCCCACAGCACCCCCCACCCCGCTCCCGCTGCCCCCGGCCCCGACTCCCGTTCCAGTGAGGGGAGGTGGGCTTCTCCAGGACGGGCTTGGACTGGGCCTCAGCTCCCACCTGTGCAGAGTGGCGGCCTGGGAGCTGAGCGTGGCCCTCGGCAGCCCTGCTTCTGAGCTGCATCAGAGGAACGGAGGGGTTCTCTGGCCCTGGCCCGGTGGCACCACGGCAGCAACTGGCTTTACCCACTCTGTTTCTGAAGCTCTTCCTATTTTCTCTGGCACATAAGCAGAAGGGAATGGTTTGATGAGGGTCCTGGGTGGGGCCACAGGCTCACCCATGTCGTGAGGAGCCCCAGTTAGGCCGCGGGAGGTGGAGTGCGAGGCCCTTGTCCAGCGCACTAGGGCCTGCACGTGGGCCTCATGTGGAGAGAGCCAGACAGGGCGCCCAGGTCAGCCGCCTCCGCCTTCGCTGGAACCGCCTGCCCCTCCTCCGCTCAGCAGATGCCAGCTCAGTGCCCGCTGCACCAGTGATTCTCATAGTTTCTAGGGAAACGGACAAGCAAATCCCTGCTCTTCAACCGGCTGTCTTCTGGTGGGGTTTCTTTTCCTCTGGAAGAACAGAACCGTAACTTACCACTCTCACCTAGTTTTTGACTCTGGGTTCCTTGGTGCCCAGTGACTGTTGCCCTTTCCTGTCACAAACCAAACCTTCCCACTCCCTGCAGCCTCTCACCTTCTCATGCCTCAGAATCAAGTTTTCACCCAGTCGTGATGGAATTTGACAGCACCGCATCGGATAGTCCTGACACACGTGGTTCTCTAATGTTTGCATGCAAAAGCAGCGCCGAGGGCTGGTTCAACTCAGATGCCCAAGCCCCACAACCAGAGCGTCTGACTCAGCGGGAGTGAGGGGAGCCCCAGGTGGTGCCGATGCGGGCGAGGCTGTAACTTTACAGTAACGATCTTCTCCATTAAATGTGTCTGTGGCTGCAGTGCCCCCAAAGGACAGGATTGGGCCCGCCTCCCCCAGACAAGAACTCTGACCAAATGGCCTGCAGAGCATCCGCAGCCCAGGGCCCTGGGCCAAAGGGACTTGACACCACACAACTGTGGTCTTTTTCTTGGTGACTTTCTCTGTGATCTGGTCATTTAGGATCGAGTTGGGTGTACTTGGTGTGGCAGCTGCTGTGTATAGGTTTCCCCGGGAGAGAAAGTAAAAGCTGTTTCCATTTTAAGCTTAATGGGGCTTGTATTTATGTCGATCCTTTGTTCTCGGGTCTCTAAATTGACATGAGATTTTCACATTGTTCCGCTGTGCTGCGGACAGTGGAAGTTGGAGCCTTCACCAGAGTTCTGCCTGGAAGCATTAGAATCCTGCCTTCCCGGAGTCCTCTCTTTCTCTGCCAGGAGATGAAGCCAGCGTGTGTTTGGCACAACAATAAGAGCTTTTCAATAGTTGGCTTTTTGGACCTTGTGGCCATCAAGCCTAGCCTCAGGGTCTACAGAAACCCCCTTGATACATGTCGGAGGCATCTGCTTTCTCACCCCACAAACAGGGACTCGAGTGCCTCAGAGGTGGCCCAGCGGAAACTTCTTCCCTAGCCGGCTCTCCTCTGTATCGAACTAAAATCTGCCTCTGAACAGCTTCCACCCACTGATCCTAATTTTGATCTCTTGAGCTGCAAAGAATATCTTTCTCACGTCAAGACCTAAGACTGTTTCTTGCCTTAGTCCCTTGCCTCTCTAGGCTCAATTTTACTCTTATCAGCTCACTCTCTTTCAACTCAACTTTCATGTCTGGTCACCCTTCTCGGGACGCTCTCAAAACTATACACACAGACTGACCTTCCCAATGACTGGACTAATGAGAAAGGCTGCAAAATTAGTCATCCATCCAGTCGCCACTCTGGGGAAGAAGATGTTGAATCTTCATTGCAAGTGCTGTAAAATGAAGTGTAAAGATGCAGTTCCTCTTTTGAGGACAGAATACCCAGATTCTCCTCCTTCAGATACAGACTGAACACACGTTTATTGATCACCCGCTGTGCATCAGACATCAGTGCCGCCTTCTTGGATTGCCACGCCCATCCGCAGAGGCAGTGTGTGTTACTCCCGTTTCGTGAATAAACACTAAGCCTCAGCTGAATGGAGCAGATGGCCTAAGGTCTTACAGACTGGAAGGAACAGAGCCAAAAAATTAAAGGCAAATCTGAGTGAGTGCAAGTTTACTGCTTCCATAAGTAAATCTCTGCAGTAGCCACTAGATAGACATAAGAGGGGAAATAGAATCTTGACTTCCACATCAACATAATGCTGACTTTGCAGCCAGACCCCTGGGTTTAAATTCTGGCTCTGCCACTGAGAGTTGTGTGACCTTCCGCACGCGACTTCACTTCACAGGATAACTGTAAAGGACTTAATAGGCTAAGGCATGTGACGTGCTTTTGGCAATGAGCAGCACGTGGCAAGCACTCACACCTTAGCTGTGCTCACTGTTAGCTTTATTCCCAGTACGGTGGAGCTGCAGAATGTTAGTTTCCTGTTGCTGAGATGACAAGTTACCACCAACCTCATGGCTTAAAACAACACATTTATTATGTTGCAGTTCTGTAGATGAGGAACCCAGCAGACTCACTGGGCTAGGGTCAAGGTGTCAGCAGGGTGTGTTCCTTCTGGAGGCTCTCGGGGTAAATCCATTTCCTTTCCCGGCTTCTGCAGGCCACCAGCTTTACTTGGCTCATGGCCCCTTCCTCCATCTTCAGAGCCAGCAAGTCCTCATGCTGCCATCTCTGATTTTTTCTCTTTTGATTCCTTCTTCCATTTACAAAAACCCACCCAGACCATCCACAATAACCTCCCCCATCTCAAGTTCTGCTGATCAGCAACTTTCCTAGTCCATTTTCTGTGGCTTATAACAGAGTACCTGAAAGTAATTTATTTTAAAGAGGAATTATTTCTTACAGCTCTGGAGACTGAGAAGTCCAAGGTCAAGGCAGTGCATCTGGTGAGGGCCTTCTTGCTGGTGGGGACTCTGCAGTCCTGAGGCAGTGCGGGGCATCACATGGCCGGGGCTGAGTGTGCTAACATGCTTGCTCAGGACGCTCTTCCTCTACGTATAAAGCCCTACTTCCACTCCTGTTACATAACCCATGAATTCCTTAACCCACTAATTCATGAACGGATTAATCCATTAATGAGGGCAGAGCCTTCATGATCCAATCACCTCTTAAAGGCCCTGCCACATTGGGGATAAAGTTTCCAACATATGGAATTTGGGGAACACACATTGAAACCATAGCACATTCCATCTACAATTTTCTCTTTGCCATGTAACCTAACATATTTACAGGTTCCAGGACTTAGGACATGGATGTCTCGGGTTGGCTGGGGGGTGAACAGAGAACATAATAGTAATTTTTAGTTCCCTCTCCAAACATAGCCCTTAGGCCCCAAATAAGCTTCATTTACCTATCCAGGAATGGCGCTGTTTGAACAGAGAGAGAAGAGAGAACGGGAATGCCTTTGTCAAACACGCATCGGCATCTTCTGGTTCAACTCGGTGCCCCTCCTCCAGCCCTGGCCCAGTGGATACAGGTCCTTCCCAGTTCTACCAGTCTGATAGTCACCCCTCCTCCCACAGGAAATCCAAGGCTGGTGAGGGGCTAGGGGGAGGTGGTCCAGGTTATCCACATAGCAGAGAAAAGAACTTTTTTCTGGAAAGTGGAGCTCAGGTCCTTGCCTCTCTGGAAATTTATTTGAGTTGGTTTGAGAGAGCTTCCAAACAGCCCTTCCTCCACAACTGCTGTATCCCTAAGTGGCAAAGGCCATTGGCCTCCTTGTGGAGTCCTCATGCCCACACCTGGGTGCCGGCGCCCATCCTGCATCCCTCACGGGTACACCGGGGCCAGTCCCTTCAACACTCTGGGCCTCTGCTTCCTCATCTTTCAAGCGCAGGAAAGACTCCAGTCTAGTTCACAGTTTGCCTGGGAGGATCCCACCTGCAGTAAAATATCCGTCTGAAAGATGTCCTATTACCTGTTATTGTCAGTGGGATTAGGAAGAGAAGGAAGGTTGGGGGGTTCAGCTCTCAGCTCTGTTGGAGATATTATACGGGAGTTATTCCAGGTGATGATCTAGCACCTAATGACCTAGGCACTCGGTCTCTGACCTACAGTGTTAACCTAAGACAAGAATCTCTTCTGGGTGTAGTGTTCATCCCAGACCTAGCACAGCTCTAAGGAGAAGGAACCCATCCCGTCCCCTCAGTTGGGATTAGTGTTTGGGATTACTCAATTTGTAGTTTTCCAACAGTGAGCTTATCTGGGCAAACAAGCAAAGAACTTCTGTGGCCAGGCCAAGGTGGGCATATCCTCACCATCAGGGTCTCTGGACCACCTCGCTTTTCCTGTTCTCCACACCCCACCCTGCCCCACAAACAGTTTTCACAAAAGGCCACAGACTTTGTCTGCACATGAGCTGATAAAACCATGGCCATCCTTGCCTGCTCAACCATTCTCTTTCCTGGCACGCCAGCTGGCCTGAACGTCCGTCGCCTGATTGATAGGTTTTAACCAGTGGTACAACAGGCTTAAAATGTGACGTATCCAAGTTATTGCAGCCACTGTGCGAGCAAGGTGAGGTGCACTTTGCAGCCTCCGTCTGGGATCCTCTTGGCTTTGTTCTGCCTCCTCCTGCTTGGATGGTGCAGCCTCTGCTTGAAGAGGTGTTCTGGGAGATTATGAACCAACATTTATAGACCGCACCTCTCCTGAGATGCTCCTTTGGCATTTTGTAAAACTTTTAAGTGAGAAAGCGTAGGGTACAGTTCTCAGCACAGACTGAAGGAATCTGAGGTGGGAAGAATGCAGATGGTTGTCCGAGGCAGCATCTTGCCAGCCTGCCAGCACAGAAATGGAGAGTCTGGGTGTTGGTGGCACCGCATGTGTCTCTGTCTAAGACCTCTTTCTCAATTGTGCATCTGCTGAACGGTCAGTCTTTAGGTACTTGATCAAGGTTGGCTGTGTGACAAATTGGAGTTTTTCTTATGCTTTAAATTATTTGTTAACATTCAGAAGGTTCTTAAAGGTGGCTAAATGTACAATAAAACTACCCTCTTACAACTGAGATGCCAGTTGGGGTGAATTTTCAAAGTATTGTCTGATGATGTAGAGTGCACAGGGAGTCTTTCCACTTTAAGGCAAGTCATCTAGTTAATTTTTCTTAGTCTCATGCTTGATTCTTCTCCCTCCTTTTCTTCACCGTCTCCCCAACTTTCTACTGGGACCGTCTAAGAACAGCGTAGTAAGAAGTGAGAAATTATGTCCAGTTCACTATAGCCAGCCTCCCAGTTTTTAAATAGGAAGCCAGGGTGTAAAGAGACCTAATTTGCATATTGATTCATTGTCATCAATAACAAAAGGGGCCCAGGGAGTTTCTAGGCCGCCTCCACCTCTCCTATGGCCCCCTGAGCTAGGCTGCCCCATGCTCATAGGCTGTGCGTGTATCTGTGCCTAAGGAGTTCTCTGTCCAACTCACTGTTTGCCATCACCATTGGGAGTCAGCCACATGAGAGCAGTGTGTGGCATCAACACACCTGTTTGCAGACCCACCTTGGAGACTTGGAGGATTTGAGAAGTCTTCCCTAAGCACAAGATCAGCCAGGCCTGGTGTCCTCCAGCGCCTCTTCTCCCTTGCCCCAGGGCGAAGCACTCTCTAGAAGCGCGCTCTGACGGGCACTACTCTGGAGGCACCTGGATGGGGGCGCAGCAGGCAGCATCTCTGGGCCAGCAGTTCACAGTGTGGACATCATAGGAAGAGAAAGGTTACAGCCTGGCATACAGGGCCCTCCTGTGATTTCCTGCAAGGTGGGAGAAGGTCCTCCAGCAGAAGCCAGATCAGTGGCTGTGCAGTCATCAACAGTTGGAGATGTTTAGATGAAAGTGGGGAAAAGTGTTACCTGCTTTCATTGTTTCATAAAATAGATCCTATATCATTTTGTCTGTTCTGTTCAGCCTCTACCTAATAACTGATGATGATCTAAAAATGGTGCCAAATACAGTGCCAAATTCATTACATAGATTATTTAATCTTTACAATAACCCGGTGAATTCAGTGCCCTTCTTCTTCCTCCGTTTAAATACAATGAAACAGAAGGTTGGGGAGATGAGGGAACAAGGCAGGCTTAATGAAACCCCATTTTGCCTCCAGTTGTTTTGTGTTTTGTTTTTAAGATTCCACTGAAAAGAGCTGATGAAACTATAGAGTTGTGTTCTTTATTAAGAGCTATAGTTTCATTTTTCAGTAGCAATGGGGCTGGGCCAGGACCCTTTTTCCTGCCTTTCTCAGTGATGCCCCATGCCAGCCAACCTCCATGATCCTTCCCCTGCTCACCACAGAGGCAGGCAGGTGACCATCCCCACTTACAGTGCAAAAAGGTGGGGAGACTGGTGAGGTCTGTGCTGTAAGATGACGTTCTGCACAGTGCAAGCTGCAGAGACTAAGAGCAACAGCCTGTCTTGTGTTTTGTGTCTTGTGTTTTGCTAGATATAAGATTCTGAGTTAATAGGTTTTTTCTTTTTAGCACTTTGAATATGTCATCTTACTAACTTCTCATCCATTGTTTCTGCTGAGAAGTCAGCTGTTAATCTTACTGGGATCCATGATGAATCATTTTTCTCTTGCTCCATTCAAGATTTTCTCTTAAACTTTCAACATATTTCTGTCATGTGCCAGGGTATAGATTTCTTTCCATTTATCCTACTTGGAGTTTGTTTATTTTCTTGCATGTGTGGATTATTGTCTTTCATCAGATTTGGGAAATTATCAGCCATTATCTCTTGAAATTTTTTTTCTGGTCTTTAGTGCATGCATTACACACTTTACATGTGTGTGAGTGTGCTTAATGGTGTACCATATTTCTGTGAGGCTCTGTTCATTTCTCCATTCTTTTTTCTTTCCATCCTTTAGATTGTAAAATCTCTATCAGTATATCTTCAAGTTCACTCATTCTTCTGCCAACTCAAACCAACTGTGGAGCCCTATGGTGAATTTTTCATTTTGGTTTTTACTTTTCAGCCCCAGAATTTCCATTTTTTTAAATCAGGACACAAGTAAATTACATATAGCCTATTAAAACTTGTCAGTTCAATTCAGGTCACATTTATTTATTAATTAAAGTTGTGTAGGTATTTTGCAGATTATTTCACTGGACTTACCCTCATTTAAAATTGTTTTTGTATGGTGAACTGTCTAGGCTAATTTTTATTTCCATCACTTTCCTACTGAAAGTTAAATTTTAAAATGCTGCCGTTTGCCATTTGCCTGGTAGATGTCTATCACATGCTAGGCAGTATGATTTTCTTAGAATTGCAAGTGTCCTCTGTCCTACTTACTTGCATGTACTGTGTTGATTTATGAATGTTGAAAGAAATAGATTTACTTTGTAAAATGCAAAAAAGAATTTCCAATTTTTTCTTTTTATAATTTCAGCCTTTTTATTGGCATTCTTTATTTGATGAAACATTGTAATTACACTTATAATCCTTTAGGCATGATTTTTTAGATTGTTATCATATTTATAATAGCTGCTTTCATGTCTTTGTCCACCAAGTCTAACATCTGGGCCCTCTTACGCACAGTTTCTGTTGTCTGCTGTCTGCTTTTTCCTGTGTACGGATTGCATGTTCTTGTTCCCTTGCATATATCATAGCTTTCTATTAACAACAGGACATTGTAGATGTTACAGCACTTCTGGGTGCTAATCCTCCTTACCCACTGCACATCACCCCTTCCCCACTGGCTTCTCATTTGTGTTTATTTCCTTACTGATTTAGCAAGAATAATTCAGTGAAGTCTATTCCCCTGCACTGTGCCTCTGCTGTCACTCCTCAGAGGCCACAGCCTTGAGCTATGAGTGACATTCCTATTTTTCCTTTGTTAAATTACAAAATTCTTCCAGACAGCTCCCTTTCACTGCCTCTTTGCCTGATCTCTGTTAAGTTTCTGGCTGCTGTATCTCTGTTGTTTTCACTTCCAGCTGTTAGCCTCCACTAATCTTCAGTTGTTTGCGCTATTATTTTTGGCCCAGGAGCATAAATTGTCCCCACAGTCTGCTCTGATTGTCCCCACAGTCTGCTCTGACTGTGGCTGGGCCCTTTCGTAGGGGTGCTCTTTCGGCCAGTCCTTGAGGCCTGCTCTGATCCCAGGAGGACTCTTTCTGGCTGTCCCTTTCCCTGCCCTCTCTGCTAAGCTTTCAGCTGGTCTACTTTGCCATCATGGAGCTACTGCCTACTCTTAATTGCTCACCAACAAAATTTATCTTGTTTCTGACAGTGCCTGAGGTTTGAACTTTCCTATACTCTGTTCCAAATAATTAGTTATCCTTAGGGGAAGTTACAGAGCCCTTTGTTCTTGTGACCTGTCTCTCCCTGCTCTGGAGGTGGTGCAGGGGCAGTGGCCTGCTTTTCTGTGAATGACACCTCTGGTCTACAGGAAGGGTACTGTGTGAGCATAGGAGCAACTGGTCTTCTCTCCTTGCCTCTCCCAGCATAAGACCTCCACCCAGTGAGTGAGATGGAGTGAATGGGACCCAGTACTCAGAATGCTATGCCTAGCGTAGAGCTTCCCCTCCATGAGTAAAGGCTGGACTGAGGTAGGGACCCCTCTGCTTCTTGGTCTAGAATAGAGCTTCTGCCACAGAGTTGGCAGGGGTGGGAGCTGTGAATTGTCAATGTTGGTAGTCTCCCCCTCCCTGGGAGAAACCATAACCCTGTGTATTTGGAGCTGTGGGAAGAGGTAGCCCCATCTTCTTGGCCATACCTGCCCAGGGTAGAGCTTCCTTTATGCTGAGCTTCAGAGGAGGGGATTTGTACCAGGGAAGGGAGCAGGTTGTGGGTTGTGGGTCACATGCCACAGATTCTTGCTGCTCTTACTGAGATTTGATAAATCTTCTTGAGAAAAATATTTCTTCATCTATACACTTAGGACAATTTCCAGAGACTTTAAGTGGTTGGTTTTTATTATTTTTATCTGTTGTAGTTGTTTCACTGGAAGGAGGGCCCAAGGATATCCTTATTTTAGAAGTACTTCCCTGGTGTACCCTAAAATTGTGTGAAAATGTTCAGGCCTTTTTTGCTGGTTTAGAATTCAAACATGTGCGAGGGATAGTTTTTAACACGCTACTTACTAGCGCAGCAATCTGGCAAGGACTATTACATGTAGACTGGCATCGGATGCAGTCCCTAGAAAATACCCCAAATAGGAGAGACTTCTATTTCTGGCAGTTAGGCAGACTAGATTACTGGAAAGACCCTCCCACCGGGAAAAACCCTAAAATGTATAGTAAGATTTTTTAAAATATTTTTAATGACATCAATAACTACTCAATTAGCAAAGAATACTCATAAATCAATGATTAAGTGAAAGAGGAAACTCAGAGAAGGGGTAGCATATTGAAGGTGGCTTTCCCCTTAAGGATATTTGGTGAACCGAATAAATTCTAATAACTGTTCGCACAGCTTTCCCAACCATAAGGAATACAAGGAAGTCCAAGGCTCCTGTGCAGTATCTAATAGGAGACCCTCCCCATACGAGCCTGAAACCTCAAAAGGCTAAACTCTCAGTGTAAAGATGAACAAAAAATACTCCCCACTAGAAAACTACAAGGAAAACTGACTATCTCAAAACATAGTGCTGGGTAGGGCCAGGGGAATTTCCCTCTGAGAATTCATAACAATAAACCATCCCTCACGTGAGTTTACAACCCAGTTTGATTGTATCTGAGTGGCCAAAAATCCTAAGCCATGAAGTTAAAGTATCCCCAGCTTGTAGTTTCCTCCAGCACCTTGTAGAATCAAATGTAAGTCATCTTGAAAGAACCCATCTTCAACCCAGGCCTCAAATTATTCCTAGAAATAAAGTTCCAAGATATTTAAGCTCACAACCAAAAAAAACCCCACAAAATATACAAGTAAACCAAGCACCAAGAGTGAGAAATAGCAGGGACATTATTAGACACCACCATTATTAGACCTCAGATATTAGCATTATTAGCATACAACAGAAAGGAAATACAGCTAATATGTTTACATATTAAAAGAATTTGAAAAGCGAAAAAGCCACTGATTATGAAAAATGACCAATCATGTTGATAACATTCTAGAAATGAAAAAATATAATCAAATTGTAAAATTTGGAGATGTAAGTTTAGCGGAACATTACATACAATTGAAAGAGAATGTGGTGAGCTGGAACACAGATTTTGGAGATGATGCCCAACCGAGAAACAGAATATGAGAGGTGAAGTGACATGGAATAGATCTAACTTAGGTCTAGCTAAATTCCTAGTGGAAAGGAGAAAGAGAATGGGGGAAAGTCAATATAAGAGCAGCTAATAACCAAGAACTTTTCAGAACTGATAAAAGGTAGAAACAAAAATCCACATATTCAGGGATCCAGATGAATTCCAAGCAGTGAAAATAAAAATCAATCTAAACTTGGAAGCACCATAGTGATAAATGCAGAACACCAAAGACAAGGAGAAGATCTTTAAAACAGAGAGAAAAACCACTGTCCAAGAAACACAAACATCTCAGTACCTGACCTCTCAACAGTAATAATGGAAATCAGAAGGCCATAAAATGTGCTTGGAAAAACCTCTCAGTCTCGAATACCCAGGAAAGAAATATTTCATGAACTAGGATAAAGATGTAATTTTCATACAAACCAAAGCTAAAAGACTTTTTCACCAATAGACCCTCACAAAATAAAGCTGTATTGGATATAACTTCAAACTAAAGGATAAATAACCCAGGTGAAAGAAGAATGAATAATAAGCAAAGGAAGTGGTAAATATGTGGGCAAATCAAAATACGTGGTATGAAGAATAATAATGAAGTGCTGAATAAAAACTGAAAACCAAGCTACAAGTAAAATACATGACTACATGAATATCCCACATCTGGGTTCAGAGGGGGCTCTTCTGCCTTAAAGTATTCTCAGATCCTTGAATTGTTCTGGCAAAGAGCAAAGATAAGTAACTTTGATTTTCATAAGTTAAAGATGACTTAAAGTTTTTATGACCATATATGAAAGAGTAGGAATACTATGCATGACTTCCAAAGTAGTAGAGAGGGGAAATGGAATTGAAAGACAAACCTGGCTGGCTTGGAGGCTCACACCTGTAATCCCAGCACTTTGGGAGGCCGAGGCGGGCGGATCACGAGGTCAACAGATTGAGGCCATCCTGGCCAACATGGTGAAACCCCGTCTCTAATAAAAATACAAAAATTAGCCAGTCATGGTGGCAGGCGCCTGTAGTGCCAGTTACTCAGGAGGCTGAGGCAGGAGAATCACTTGAACCTGGGAGGCAGGGGTTGCAGTGGGCCAAGATCATGCCACTGCACTCCAGTCTGGGCGACAGAGCGAGCCTCTGTCTCAAAGGACAGCAAGAAAGGAGAGAAAAAAATGTAATATTAGCAGAACAAATAGGACAAAATCTAAATACCCCTAGTAAAAGACTTAAATTATCAGGCTGTGTTGTTTTTAAACCTGTCTGTGTATTAGAGATGTAGCCAAAATACAAACAGATAAGTAAAAAGATGGCAAAAGATATCCAATGCAAAAACCCAAAACAGCCGGCTTTCTTACACCAAACATCATACAAAACAGACTTCAAGGAAAAATTAGAAACAAAAAGGTTGCCCCAAAAAGGTTTATTTCACCAGAAGATAGGATAATTTCCAAATCTATGCAAGTAGTAACCTCTTGCATAGAAATATACCTTCAAGATACATTTCCAAAAATAAGCATGTTTACATGGAGTTGGAATGACAGACGTTCACATGCTTCTTCCAGTAACTGACAGATCAGGCAGGCCAAGAAATGTCTTACATTTAAATGTTTTCCATTTTAGAAGTTTATTGAAGATATTATGAATAACTTTATACCAATATAGAGTTGAAAACAAAATACAGCAATTTCTAGAAAGCAGCAACTTAGTAAAACGGATTCAAGAACAAAAAGAAAAGTTCAGTCATCCTATTTATCAGGGAAATGTAATCACTATTTCAGAATCTTCCCATGAAGAAATACAAAGTCCAGAACATTTTACTGGCAAGTGCTACCACACACTTAAATGACAATTAATTTTAATCTGACACAGTCTATTCCAGAGAACAGAAAAATAGGAACACTCTCCCAGTCACTGTATGAGGTTAGCAAAACCTTGGTAGCAAAACTAAAGACAGTACAAGAAGGAAAAATAAAGGCCCATCTTACTCATGCCCATAGGCTTAAAAAAAAAAAAAAAGAACTAAGCAAGATATTATCCAATAATGAAGCCAAAGAATGATTGTCAACTTCATTATGTCTAAACCTGGCAGGGCAGGCCTCCCATTCGCAGATTTCCCCACCATCCAGCAGTGAGTGTGTTTGCAGTATTGGTAAAACAGTGCTGTGAAGATTTTTTTAATCACCAAATCTGTCAAAATTGCCACAAGTACAATCCCACATGTCCTTCACCCAAAGCCACAAGCACAGCTCCTCAGCTCCGTCCACTGAGATGATGACAGAAGGATTTCCAGTCTCGGCTCTCACTCACCTCGTGTCTTCTCTCCCCTTGTCTCTGTTTTCCTTTTTTCAGTGGCTGCTTCAACCCCCAACTCCACTGCTGGTGCAGCCATGAACTCCTTGACCTCTCTCGGGACTCTGCAAGGACTGGCTGGAGCCACTGTTGGACTGAATAATATTAATGCACTAGCAGGTACCATCAACAGTGAGTATTTGCTGCTCTGGTGGACAGCCTTCCCCCAAATTCTCCACAGAAAGTGGTCAGCCAGAAATGACCCGAAAAAGGATATGCCACGGGGAGAACTAAAACTTGGGATGGAGGAGCACATGCTTTGATAGGCAAAAGCTGTCTACACTCGTTTTGCCTCAGAAAATCCCCAACCACTCTCCACCCCCAGATTCTCTTCAGTGTGTAGCACAGCGCGTGTGCTCATCCATGGGGTTCTGTGGCTGGCAGCTCTTTTCAGGTTTCCAGGAGTTTGGTTTGGTTTGGTTTCGGTCGGTTCTGTCCTGCGAGGCAGGGTGTTACGGTGGGAAAAGTTAATGGACTGGAAGGCTGGAAGCCTGAACCCAGCTCTGCTGCCAGGCAGCTGTGGGAAGTCAGGCAGATGCTGCTCCCTCTCTGGGCTTGGGAGTCTCCATTTGAGAATGGAAAGTTCTGGGTCAGATGATTCTTAAAGGTAGCCTCCAGCTCCAAAGTCTAAAGATTCATGACAATTAAATAGGGGAGAAAATTAGGCCTTGGAAAGAAGGAAATGAAACTGAGGGGAGAGGAGCCACTGCTGGCAGTGACATGATCAGAATCTTTATTAAGCACCCACAGGTATGGGTCACTCTACATCAGTGACCATCCAGAGGGACATCATTTAGCTGTGGCAGGTTGAAATAGGCTGGAGGCAAATCACTTAGAAAATTGTACTTGGTTCCGAAACATATGGATGGACTCACCAGAGAACTGCAGGTTCTGTCCTCCACAGCCCACCCGCTCCTGTCATTCTCGGTTGATGGGGGAGCAGTGTGCCGGCCAGAGGATAAGTCGTGTTTTAGATTCATGCTCGGTGTGGGTTCCTGTACTGAGGAAACTGATCCTCAGCCCACAGCGGGGACATGTAATTTCCCTGTCCCTCCGTTTCAGATCCCCTGGTTGCCTGAGAGTAGCCAAGCCCAGCAGATCCACGACAGCTAACAGAGCTGCTGATACGGGAGCCCAGTTAGCTACCATGCAGCCCAGGCACCCCGGCACCTGCCCATTCTCATTTTTAATAAAGGAGTCCGTGACAGTTGTTGCCCTATTTTAAGCCATGGTTCAATAAGTGGACTGTTTTTAAAGGGTGACCAGGCAGTATACTTTTTTAAAGCAAAATAATCCCAGTAATTTCATACTGTAAAGGCTCGGAATACCTTGCACTGGACTTGGTAGAAAATGAACCTAAAATTTATCCAAATAAAAATTAACTTGTATAATCCTGATAAATCATTTTCAGAATTAGGACATTTTTCAGGTTTTAGTACATCTTTGTATTTAGTACATCTTTTGGGGAAAAGCGAAAACGTGGACCGAGCTTTAGCTGACCATACCTCCCAAATGGGACGGCTCGTGATTAGCGTGGAGCCCGTGAAGTGGTAGCTGTGCCGCGGCCTCATTGTTTTATTCCAGTTAGAACCGCCTCCAGCTTTGACTTTTCCAGCAGCCAAGTAGGAGCCTCACTGCCTTGACCCCCATTTCCGGTACAGCTCCTCGCTCTGACCTTGTCCTTCACCTAGGTCGAGGACGCGTGTGCTCGCACACATCCCCTCATGCTGCTTCTCTTGCCCCAGGACCTAGTTCCCCTAAAACAAGGACTTTGATTTGACCGCCTGCCTGTCCTTGGTCTGCAGAGTAACAGGCCAGTGGGAATGGTTGTCCTCCTCAGCACGTGCTCATGACTGGTGTGTGTGTGTCCTCTCGTCTGCGTCCCGCCCTGTCCACGCTGCTCTGCTCTGCATTGCTGAGATTTTCCCATCGTTCTCGTCAGGGACTGGAGAGGGGCTGTGTTGAATGGCAGAGAAACCATGAGTAGTTCTTGTGTGGGGTCTTGTGTGATACACATTTTGCTTCTGGCAAGGACAACAGGCTTAAATTGTTTTGCTTTTTAAAATTCTTTGCCAATGGGTTAATATAAGTCTGTATAGTTCATAGAAAACGAAGAAAGAATGTTTGTCATTTCAAATAACCCCTGCTAGATAGTATGAACCAAGAAAATATTTAATTAAACCCAAAACCAGACACCAATGAAAATACATTCCTTGTGATTGGAAAGTGTTACTAATGCAGAGCCGTTTTACAATCTCCAGCATTGACCTCGAGCTAATATTTGCTGCTTGTCTCTAAATATCAACAGAAAACCTTCCAAGATAGAGTATCTTCTTTCAGACCATTCCTTCTCAACAGAGATGATTATGCTACCAGTTCCACTGGATAATTCCTAAAGAAATTCGTCAAGCAGTGGTTACCTGGACAGAGTCAGCTTCTCAAATAGTTGACGGCAGCTTCCATAGCACTGCTATGAATCCCACCCCACTGCAGCAGCCATTATCTGTTTCCATATGGAGAGTATTCAGGTTTTCTGAATAGAGCCAACTCTTACCCACCGACACAGCGGTCAGCAAGAAAGCAGGTAGATGACTCACCAGAGCCAACATTTTACCCTCTTTCCTGCCCAAGAGCCCAGCACCTCTCCCAAAAAACGAAGTTTTTGGTCAGTAGACAAGTAGCTCAATTAAACTGTTTGAGTTTGATATCCTTTTTATTCCCTGATACATTAATGAGTCAAAGGGCTAAAAAACAGTACAGCGCCCTAAAAATGTAAGAATCATCCAGATCAGAAGAAGGAACACATGTGATTGACCATCAGAGTGTTCACCTCTGGATTTTTTCAGGGTTCCCTGAGCATGTTTTATATGTTAACATCTGAACTAAGTTGAAGAACATACTTTTTCCACCCAAGAGTCTGTATCTGATTTTATGTGTTTCAGTGTATGTCAAGTGGCATCTTATTTTTCCTTGTTTTAATGCATAATTCGAATGGCTTCCAAATGGCTTACCATATAGTGCTTAAAATTATGATTGTTTAAAAAAAAAAAAACAGCTGCAGATGCCTGGTGAAAAGTGTCTATGGAAATATTTTCTGTGAAGTAGAGAAAAGAGAAGATGCTCCAGGCATATTTTCGTGGCTTGGCACTACTTGCATTGTGAAATTACTGTTTTAATCTGTATTCCTAATATCTATAGTTTACACAGCCCCACACAACCTTTGTGCCCTTAATAACACAGGCAGATATATAAGTGACACCCAGTGCACATATAGACATCTTCATCTACCTTAGTTCTAGATATTTTATACTTAGCTTCTCATTTATCAGCTTGCAGCTTAGAAGGATAATCCGTCATCTATACAAAGGAAAACTTACCCCAGTGAAGTGGTTACAAATCTGTGAGAATATTAAGACATTCTCCCTTTTTCTTTGATTTGGGATAAAGCCTAGCAGGGCAGCTTGCAGGGAATGTGGTCTGCTTATGGCACTTGGCTTGTGATTCTCCTTTTCAGTGTCATCTCCTTAGTCCCCCAACAAAAGACATTCACGCTCATGTTTATGGGTTAGTCCTTCTGTGTCATGTTAACAGATTCAGTCATCTCCCAGCTCCTGGGTCTCTATTGTAAGTTGAGGGCCTCTGGAGAGGAATGAGGCAGAAGAAACTCAGTAGTCAGGCTGCGTGCCGGCCCTACTGACGGGCCAGGTGCAGAGGCCTTGCTGCGCACTGCCGCACCTGTCACTTGCTTCCAGCCTTCCTTGTCTAAATAGCATGCATGGGAATGGAGATGATAATAATAATAAATGAGAGGAAATGGTCGATCCAGTGGACCATTTCAAGGAAAAGCCCTATTCTTTTAAGTGGAAGCATTTTATTCAACTTGACTTTCTTCACAGCTCTGCTTCTGTTATCCAGAGCTTTTAGAGGAAATCAAGTGCCTGCAGCTGGGTTGACCAACACTGTCTTTGATAGAATTAATCTAGAACAACATCAGGTGACTCACAGGAACTGTTCTCAGAAGTGGAAGGCCGCCTCTGATTGTTCTTCAAACCCTACCAGGTTTTCAGCTACTTTTCCACCCTGGACCTAGGAACCACCCTCCCAGATTTTCCACGATAGTTGTGGTTTAAAATATTCTCAGTGTGCTGGTACTTGTTAGAACTTTTTTGTTCACATGGATGTTTATACCATGGAGGTGGCGAGCCCCTGGCTGGAGAGGCCAAACCCTCCCCGTGTCCCCTGACTGGTCCCCCTTGAGCATCTGCATCCCTTGCTCATGGTACCGCCTCTGCCACCTCCCCAGGGAAACAGGGCTGGCCACAGCTGTCTCCTACATGCACAGCACCAGCAGAAGTAAACACGACCCTTCCAGAAAGCAGATTAGCTCTGAGGTGTAGTCCAGAGACACAGCCAGCCTCTGTGAAGTGGAGCCAGGAGAGAAGGATGTGGCTGGAATGTCACTGGCTGGAGCTCCAAGCCTCACAATACCCTCTGAAACATCCATCCAGTATTTCAAGAGCAGGAGCTGTGTTCTGCTTCTGCATTGTAAGAGAGAAACATTTTTGGCAAAAAGGAGAAAGAGTTCAAAGTAGGAAGATAATTTTTCTGACCTGGAAATTAAAAAAACAGCTGTGTACAGAGAAGGGAGTTGGGTCCCAGTGACCACTGCCATAAAATGCCACCTGTGTATCTGGCACTCTGGAGAAGCCGAGTCGTGGAGGCTGCACATCGCAGGAAGGATCCCCCGTGGGTCTCACATGACAGGGCCTGAAAACTCCCACCCGCAGCAGACAAGGCATCATGGTGGTGCGATGCTGCCCACCCCTCCATGGGAACTTGGAGGCGTCCACTGGAGACGAGCTGCTGTCTTCAGCCCGTCCTCGTCTGGCAGCAAGGCCCCACATGGCTCTGCAGGCTGCGAGGCACACCCAGAACCTCATGCCTTGAGATCCAAGCAGAGCGGCGAGTCGCCGCTCCTCTCCCGCCAGAATTTCCTCCACACGGGCATCTGCATTTCCAGAGGACTGTGCCCAGAGTGCGATCATCTGTAATCCACAGCACCCGTTAACAGCCTGGCCAAAGTGAGACCAACAGAATTTATCAGCAGCGTCCAGCCCTTCCCGAGTTATTGTACATACCCCTCTCACCTATCTCAAAAAACACGGAAGTTCCTTTGCATCACACAAATAGTGGGAGGTGAGGATGAAGTAAGATCACTGGAGGAATAGAGAAATGACTCTCCAGCCCTCTGGTGGCCATAGTAACAGGGACAGAGGGGAAGCACAGCGGCAGGGAGGTGGCCGCGATTTGCTGGTGTCCGAGGGATCATTTAGGGTAATTAGGACAGTCTGCATCCAAGCTCTTTGGACAGCACTTACTTGCATGACCCAAAGAAAACATTAATGAAAATCTCAATGATTTTCATTAATAGATAGACCCCTTCATAATGAGAAACAAAAGCAGACACAGCAGGGCCTCAGCTGGCAACACCTCTGAACTGAGCCTGCACTCAGGAGGCTGCCACTCCATTCTCACGCCATTCACACTCGTCTCGCCACCCCTGCTTGGTGTCTGTTCTGAGAAGCACAGGAATACCCGAGGTGAGGCACAATGACAGTCCTCCACTGTTAAGCTATAGCCTAATTCATATCTTACATGTGTCCTTTTAATTGAAGAGGCGAAGTTGGCCAAATAGAAGCACAAGTGGAGTAAACAGAACATTCCCCACCTGCTCTGTTAGGGCAGTAGCGTTGCTGGGCGTGTGGAGGTCACTCTGCTGCCGGATTCTCTGGTGTTTCCAGGCAGCCTTACCTTAGCTGTCCTCCATTCTCATTAGACTTCTTACCTATTTTTTCAGTTAGCCATCCTTGCTGTTTTCATATCTCCAATCAATAGCCCTACTTTCATTGAGATTTTCATTAATGTTTTCAATAAGCTCTTCTCAGAAACATCTTTTCTTAAAGAACTGTGATCATAAAGGGACCCAGAGGCAATTGTGATGTCACCTCTTCCGTTTCCTGAGTTGATATGAAAGTTAGCACTCTATAAAGTGTTGCTTGCTTTGACTCCGTATTCAGGGAAAATGTGACAGTCAGCCACCCCAGTAGAGCCAAAGAGCAGTCAGGATACAAGGGGAGAAATCGAGTCTACTGGCCACCATCCCGTTCCCATCAGGTGATAGCCAAGGTCCAGCCCATAGACACACCTCTGTCTCCGGCTGACTGAAAAACATGACCTGGAGCTCTTTCAGTGGCCGAAACCCCAGTTGCCACTTGGGCATGTGTGCATGCGTGCACGCACAGAATAACTATTTGCTGCTGAAAACTGCACCACTTTGATACCGAACGAGTAGCTTCAGCTCTCTGCGACTGTGGGAAGGGTCCACATGGCTTCTGTGCCTCAATTCTTCATCAGCCAGGCTATTTATTCCTAAGGTCCTAGTCCCTGACATCATCATTCAGCTGTTTAGAAAGTCCGTTTTCCCACACTGTAACTCCTCAAACTGCAGGTCCACTGGTTCCGAGAGTACAGAACTTGTCCTCTCCACCATTTCCTCATCACACGGCCTAAGGGAAAAAAGTTTTATTTCATCCTTTCCTCCTCAGCCCTGCAAGCTATCCCATAGTTCCTCAAAGAGCCCAGTAAATGGATTTCAGTGTACAGATGTTACAGGCCTCTGCTACTAAGGTTTTTTTTTTTTTTTTTACATGCTCCTAAGCTCCCAGAAGCAAAAGGCTTTTACTTCCAAAAGATAACAACGGTACTTGCCAGTAGCACGCTGCATGGCATTGAGCTGTCTCGTCTAACTCGTGCCACAGTGCATTTGAATCACTGGCCTAGGGAGTGAGGGTTCTCATGGCTTAGGTCATTTTCCCCCATTATCACGATTTATTTCTTCATGGTTTCATTTTTAGTTTCCTGTCAGTGTAATTGTGTGCTAGCTGCATGTACTTGCTGTTGTACTGTGTTTAAATGATTCTCTAACTTCCTTTGGAAAGCACTAATGAATAAGTGCTGTTTCTCTTCTCTATTGTTGGGTTTTTTGTAAAGTTGCTCAAATGCTCTCAGGTATGGCGGCTCTGAATGGAGGACTTGGCGCCACAGGCTTGACGAATGGCACGGCTGGCACCATGGACGCCCTCACCCAGGCCTACTCAGGAATTCAACAGTACGCAGCCGCCGCGCTGCCCACTCTGTACAGCCAGAGCCTGCTGCAGCAGCAGAGCGCTGCAGGCAGCCAGAAGGAAGGTAGGTGCCGCCCTTGGCCCCAGGCAGGGCCCAGCCCAACAGGCAGCACTGGCCTCTAGAGCACGGTTAGAAGGTATCAAATTGAACTGAACCCATGTCATAACAGAAAGCAGTTGTTTTGTTATTCATGTTTAAAAAAAAAAAAAACTGAAAGCTGGGCATGGTGGCATACACCTGTAGTCGCAGTTACTTGGCAGGTTGAGATGGGAGGATCGCTTGAGCCCAGGAGCTGAGGCTGCAGTGAGCCATGGTCATGCCTGTGACTAGCCACTGCACTCCATTCGGGGAACACAGACATACCCCTCTCTCTCAAACAAAAGCAAAAACCTATTTATTTCAGTCTTTCTCACTTGGTCTTATAGTTACCTTCTAATTTAATTTTTCATCGATCTCTTCAGATGAAGTTCTTGTCCATTGTATATTTATATACCACTCTGGCTTTGTTGATAAATAAATGGTTTTAATTATTTCCCCCAGCTACATCTTCTGAAGGGTTATGGCATCTCTGCAGATCTAAGTCCAGGAAAGTTGATCACCTTTCTTGCAATCCCCAAATATCCTCTCACTGCTCACCCCCTGCCATAATTAAGTTCTATAAACTATTAATTTCCCATAAACTACTTCATAGCTGCTGACTGTAAATAATTCCCAGGGACCTCCCTCTCCCAAGTCAGCACAGACCATCACCTTTTCCCCTTACACAGAAACTACTTGTTGGGGGAAGGGGATGGATGGCCACAGGCTTCTGTGGGTGAAACGCTCTCTGTCCTGTGTTTGCCAGGGTTTTGGAGTCCACACATCCTATGAGTGTGTGGCCGGCTCTCAGTAGGTGATGGTTTTCAGGTGAATGATGAAATCCATGGTTAGGATTGCCTTGGTCTTTGTTTAATTGGGGGTCTTCAGGGAAAGCAAGTAAGTGATCGATTGCCTTGCTTCTCTGCCAGTAAAGCAAAATAAACTCCAGGAAGTTAATGCTAAGAATAAATGAAAGCTAATTATGAAATGGTTCATGAGTAAGACCAAATAAGGATCACTGGTCATTCTTCCTTACTTGAAGCTCCTTTAGAGCAAAATCTGCTGAATGATATTTTTTTCTGACTTGTTTAAATATGGGATAAAAAGCTAGAATAGAGAAGCACTAAGGGAGATTTTTTGAAGTTTCTTTCCCTTCTCTTTTACCCTCACCCCATAGCTCCAAACTGCTTTGTCTGAAGTGGGTTTTAAGAGAACACAGCTTAAAAGATACTCATGGTTTTTTTTTTTTTTTTAAAGGAAGGAAAAGGTTTTTTCTTTGTATAAATAACATGGATATCACTTTTAAAATGAAAAATATATGAAAGTCTAAGTTACTTTTCATTATTTCAACTTTCTCTTTGACTATTATGGTAGGCTTTTGAAACATGCACAGGTGTTCAGACAACTGGTTCCCCAGGCTTGTGAAAGAGACCCTACATCATAAACATCACTTGTCTTCCCAAAGAAAGGCCTGTGTGTGTTCCTTTTCTCTGTGGTCTGAGTACCATGGTGACAAATGAGGGCAGAGAGCAGGGCCCTGTAGGACAATGATATCATCACACAGAGGCCAGAAGGCCAGTTCCCCACATGGTGGTCACCTCTCCACTACAGAGCAGGGCCTTCCAGTAAACTCTAGAGCAGTTTAGGGATGAAGTCTGGGCCCTGAAACAACATGTTTCGAAACAACATGTTTCTGAGGTTTCATCTGAGCCCACTGCCCTCAACTTACTCGCCTGGAGTTTTAGGGGTTACTGCTTAGTGCAGTAATTCCCCTTCTGAGATTAAGATAAAATTGCCCAAAATAACCATTGCCCACTCCTGATTTAAGAGTGCGGGTTTTCAGTAGCATGCTTTTGGGTTTTTGATTTGTTCAGTTTTTCTTTGGAATCATCTCCCACCTTGTCATAACTCTCTTCTGATCCCTTTCTCACCCAGTTAATATGTGCTCAAGAAATTTAAACCATCTTCTTATTAGTTTAAGTAAAACATAATTTTAAAAGCAAATGATGCCAGGCAGAGCAAAAATAATAATAATAATAATAATAATAATAATAATAATAATGAATTCCAGATTTTCTACTCCACAGTTCAGTCCGAGGTTGCGAGACCTGGTGTGTTTTTTCCCCAGACAGGAAGTGAGCCTCTGATGGCCCGCCTCTGTCCATTACCTGCAGGAGGCGAGTCCCATGAGGAATGGGGACGCTGGTGGACTCTTACAGCTTTGTTCCTACAAACGTCCCCAGTTCTTTATGCCAGATCAAGTGCCCTGTGAGAGAGATAAAACATGAACACCCCAACAGCCAGGACCAGTAGTGAGTGTAACAGAGAATCTAACAAGTGACAGTAACGTGCACTGGGAGAAATCTGATGAAAGGGTGACTTGTGAACAGGTGTTTCCCATTTCTAGAGGAAGAGAGATGACACACAGGTAGAATCCCATTTTTAAAAAAGGTATTTTGTTTTTTCCTCTTCATCTCAGCCACCTTAGTTGCATACAAGGGAGGTTTTCCATATGAAATCTTTTTTTTTTTTTCATTTTAATATTAAAAACTCGGGGGATATACAAAACCAAACTGTTTCTTGGTGATGGAAAAATTGGGGGATCTATGTCAAGAGATGGTGCTGACATTTTTTTCTTGGGAATATCAGGAGCAAAAGGACAAAACCTACTTGTGTGCGTTTACTGGTCTCTCTGTTTCCTTGGTCTCTGTTGGGCATAGACAAATTCAGCATGAGCAACATTCTAGAAAGCTAGGATTACTCAGGCATACCCAGTCATCTGTCATGTGCATTGAAACTGTATTTTCTCCCCGGCTTCAGGAGGTGAGATGTACTTCACAGTTCAAACTGGGGCCCAATAACTCTCATTTGTGCATTTGGATCTTTTGTGCAGTAGCAACATGAAAGCTGGTAGCACCAAATCTGACCATCAGACATACCACCCAGGATGTGCACACACAGCAGTGCTCAGAACATCCCTTTCCAGTGTTTCAGGTTTTGCATCTTTTCATGTTAAATTTTGATTCCCTTAAAACCAGAAAACATCTGGGGACCAAAGGCCCCCCTGCAATTGTGTCCCTTTAAAATAGACTCCTTCCCATGCCCTAGAATACGGATATATCCCAGGAAATTGGCAGCAATATGGAAAGTTACAGTAGTCATTAAGACACACTTTTAAATGAGAAAGGAAGAGTTCACTCTGTGGCTTCCATAGTTTGCCTCAAGAAGTTTTCTTTGTGAAAAGTCCCAATCATTAGGATACTTTCTTGTGATGTATTTTGTGGAGGCAGGGGAAGAAGCTTGGTTTGACATTTTTACAAAGTTCTTTTTATCCCCATTTTACTTTTCTTCATGCCACACAGACACCCTTCCCACATCTAGGGACCCCAGTGCAGCTATCCCCTGGGGTTGCCTAGTTGGGCAGGCAGGCCTGTTCCTCTCCTGTGAAGGCCAGTTGAGGATTCCTGACCCGCTGCAGAAGTCGCCTCACCAGTTCTGTGAGCGCCCCTCCTCGGAAGACTCCATGCCTGGAACGCCCAAGAAACAGCCAGCCCTCATCTCCCTCAGCTCATATTTATGCCCTTTTGTGCCGCTTTTAACTTTCACATGGTGCTCATATGGGTGGGGGAGAGTCAGGAGAGGAAAAGCGAGGGCAGCTTAGGAGCACGCACCTCTCCAGCCAGCAGGGCCAAGATCTCCATCCTGCCCTTGCTGCCTGTGTTTACTGGGAAAGGATAGGTGGACGGGCAGAGCTTGGCTTCCTCGGTCTTTGCCCAGCTTCTACATCCACTGCATTCATCTCCAAGGCTAACGCCCAGGAGAGTCATTCCTCTCAAAGTCATGAGACTCAGGCTACCTTCTTTCCTTGCCTTGACTCACTGCCAGTCATTTCTAATAAAGATGATTATTAGACTGTGTGTTAAGAGATTTGGCAAATCAAAACTGGCTGGAAAACTAGGCAAATGATAGAGAAATCGGAGCAGCATTACTGCTACATCCATTATTGTCAATTGTTACAATTTTTTAGAATGCACAGAGCACCCTTTTTTCCTTCTCACAGCCTGTCCGTACCTGAGAAAATACGGCCACCCAAGAAAAACCCATGCCAAGATTATCTGTCCCCATTCTGCCCACTGTCACCTTCAGCCCCATGAAAAGGTGACTGAAATGCATATGCCAAGGGGCAGTGGCACCTGTGACTCACAGAAGACTGTCAGTGGAAAGGAAGCCATTCGTAACCAGCATCTTTGGAAATCAGGAAAATCTGAAGGATGATTGCTTTCCTGAAAGGCACTCCAGCACTTGACATTTATCCATCTGTTTGTTTGTTCAACTAAATGCTTAGCCTACCTGTTGTTAAAGTATTCCTAAGAAGGGACTTTGGAAACTAAGACTCAAGGGATACCTTACTCTGACTTTTTTTTTCCTCCTTAGGTCCAGAGGGGGCAAACCTCTTTATTTACCACCTTCCACAGGAATTTGGAGACCAGGACATTCTGCAGATGTTCATGCCTTTTGGAAATGTTATCTCTGCTAAAGTCTTCATTGACAAACAGACCAATCTGAGCAAGTGCTTTGGTATGCAAAAGAAACTAAGCTAGTATATTGCAGTAGGTTCCCAAGTGAAGAGTCGTGGGAAGGAAAATGTGAGACAGTTTCAGCCAGGATAGGGCCTTCCCCACATTGTGTTGGGCTCTGATTTTCTGGATCCTTGTAAGCAGATTTGGGCAAAGAAAGGAAGGCTCTGGGAAATTAAAGTCAACGCCCATACATTAGGTAATCTTCTATACTACACTATTAAGGAATCTAACCACAATTTAGCTCATCTTCCCCACTAATTCCTTAGCCCTCCAGGTTTAGTACAATTCAGACACCGTGGTTGTGGGCAACACCATATTGGGGGCTTATTGGCCTTGACATACACGCACACAAAGACACTTTCACAGACAGACACCCATTCATCAGCACCAACACATCCATGTGTTCAGGCTGCTTGCGTGATCGCAGCTCCACGTGCCCGGGATGAGCAGTTGACAGATCTCACGGTTACATAGCACGCTGCATGATGAGATCTGAAGGGCCACCATCGGGGAGTGGGAATGAATGCGGAGTCCAGGGGCGTGCAGCTGTTATCAGAGACTCAGCTGCCATGCCCCCTTTCCTCAAGCAGCCTGGACTCTGCCTCTTGTGGGTGTTTTTCGCTCCCTTAGGGAGGAAGGGATGCTCACAGAATGGACTGATGTTTTACACCAGGACAATAGCATTCATTAAATATATTCCTTGTTTCATTTTTCAAACCCTATTGGCCCCCAAAGCAGTTTACAGGCCAGGATGTTCAGAGTATATATTACTTGGCAAGCTCAGGGCCCAGTTTGAGTTAGAGTATTTGCTTTAATCACTCCTGCAATTTAATAATTCATGCTGGTGGGAAATAGTAACAGCATAAAACCCAGGTAGTTAGGTAAGGGCTGGAGGAAACACACAGAATTCTGTGCTGTAAAGGAAAGTAGCAAAGGGAGGGTGGTTCTCAAACTTAACTCTGGCTGGTAATGAGTAATCAGGCCAAAGAGAATGTTTTGGCTTCTAAAACTCTAATCCTAAGGTCTAATTTGTGCTATCACCCAGGAAGGTCTGAAGGCATGGTTAAAGGACTCCGCATGTCAGCCACTTACAGTCACCACGTTACCCTAGCAGCAAGGCTGTCAGTCGGGACCCATTCGGCGGCTGCTGTGGCAACTGTATAAACCCGTGTGACAGTTCAGTAGAGAGGGATATGCAAATTAAATCATTATGGGGGGCGGGGGGGTGTGTCTGAGCAGGAGCCTACTTTAGGGAGGCTTCCCTACATGATTTACAAGGCTTTGAGGCTGACTTTTGTGTTTTTCGTAGCTAAACAATATTCTAGATTTGGAAGGGAATTCTGCTTCATGATTTGATTTGAGAAAATACTTCCTTGAAAACAGATTGTTTATCAGCCTACAGCCTCCTTAACCATGTGCTCATACTGATGTAAACCATAGCTGTTAGTGTCAGCAGACAATTCTTGAGCATGATGGACTGGTTTCCATTTTTGTGGAACGCTATAGCACCCAGTTTGCTTGGTGAGCCAGCCGCATTTCTTAGGGCTGCCAGTCATAAGGTAGTGCCCCGTTCCTTCCTAGTTCTTAGCCAGGTTTTGTTATCCATCTCACCTTTGTCCATTTCCATTCTGTAACTATCTTGCTGTTCCTTGATAAAGACCCAGAGGGAAAGGAAAGTCAGAGCAAAAATCTTGGATCCCAGATCACATTTATTGGGAATGAGACTTAATAAAAATGTAAACAGCCACTTCTTTGCAATCCAGCCTACCTCTGAAAAGCTGCCCAGCGTTATGCCGCATGCCCATTTTTATCAGCCGAGAACTGGGCAGAAAAGTCATGTCCTCTTCTTCCTCCTCTAGTTTGTAAAGGAATTTTCTCTTTAGCTTTAATAGCAGATGGATAGAGGTGCTTAGTATAGAACCTTCCGAACAGCTGACGTTTAGACCTAAATGTAAATCAGGACCATAGCTTCCTGTCACCACTCGGATCAGCACCCTTTACAGCCTTGCTATACCTCTGCTGCTGCCTCCCCCAGTGCTGGAACAGACTCTGGGACCAAGATCCTCTTGTCACTGGGTCTTTGCAGTTCTTTTTCAAAAGCTTGCCTTCCCTGCTGTTTATGGTGGAGGTCGTTGCTACAGAGTAAGAGATGGGGAATTCTCTTCAGATGATTAAGTTCTAAGCCGTTGACTATGTATCCCCCAGACTTTGGGAGATGCCAGGGAGCAATTTCCTTTCTGCTGAATTTACTGGAGCTTTGGAAATGGAAAGTGAGATAAGGAGAAAGGCCCAGCACTTCCCTAGTCTCCTTGGTATTAACTCCAAATGGGTAAAAATCAAGTATGAGTGAGTTATTCTAGAGTTTATTCGCTAATTGACCCATCCTCCAGCTAAACAGGTGTAGGCTCTGTGTGACAGACGATGGAGAGCTCGAGTGACAGGCTGGGGCTTGGCAGTATCTGCTGTTCTCCAGCCCTTCCCTTCCCGAGCCTGCCTGTTGGCCTCACCTGGCTGGGACACGTGAGCCCCTAGGGGCCCCCACAGCCCTGAAATATTTACACCACTGCTTGTATGAGTAGCATGTATGGACCTGGGGTTCTTTTGGAGAGATACTAAAGGACTTGAAACACAATGATTTGAGCGAGTTCAGTAAGTGGAACTGAATTCAGCCAAACAATTGAGTCTGAGGTTTCAGTGTTGTGGGGAGGGGTGTGTGCTCCATGATGCCACATTTCCAGTCCAGCCAGCTGCTCCACAGCTGCTCAGTGGGCACGCCCCATCATCCACTCACGGTGGACTCACGATCAGTTCCGCAGAGCTGTGCTGGGCCCGTGGGGCTGGCACCTCATGCTGGCTCTTCAGCCTTCCCCAGAGCTCCAGCCCCCTTTTCTGTTTTCTGCTGGGCTTCCTCTCCAGGCTGACTCCCTCTCTCGGTATTTTCCAGGTTTTGTTAGCTACGACAATCCAGTCTCTGCACAAGCTGCTATCCAAGCTATGAATGGCTTTCAGATCGGCATGAAACGCTTGAAGGTGCAGCTGAAGCGTTCCAAAAACGACAGCAAACCTTACTGATCCTAACCCCAGAGGCTCCCTGCTCTCATTTTAGCTTTCTTAGGGTAAGTCCCACGAGCCAGCCTGTCTCAACAGGGAAGGCAGAGGAGGACCACATTGCCAACTTTTACCAAGAGAGACGGTTATTTTTACAATAAGGCCTCCATGTCCCCACCCACTTCCCCTACCCAGTTTGCCATAATTAAAACTTGGGCTACTTTGTTTCTATTGAGTAATTCCTCCTCCAGTTGTGCCACTGTATTCTCCTTTGTTTTGCGATTTGAATCTCCTTTTACCTTTTTTTTTAATTTTTTTCATTTTTGCTTTTTTTTAAAGAGAAGCATATACACAAATAAATGGCATCTTGAGAATTTAAAAGGCAAACAAACAAACGCTAATGTGCAATTCTAACTCTGAAACCACTGGTGCCCCGAGAGCACTGCCTGGAGAATTCACCCCTCCTTGCCCGGCGCCCGCCCCCGGAGGGAGGGCCCGGTGCTTAGAGGTTAACTTGGTGGCCTAGGAGAGGGAGAAGCCAGGAGAAGCACTTACTCCAACCACACGTCTTTCCACTACATCGGCTTGTTTTACTAAGTAGGATTTTATTTTAGGGTTCAAAGAAACATGACATTTATTGGTCAAAATATTACACTGGTTGTCTATTTTGTTATTGTTTTATTTTAGTTTTTAGAAAGGATTAATGTACAAAAAGATTTAGAGATCTGTTTCTTAAAGCTACAGGGTTTAAAAAATAAAAATGAGTGAAAATACTTGATGTTTCTTGAAAGATAAATTTAATAATAATAAATAAATACATAAATACATAAATAAAAAAGAAAGCCACAGGCCTGTAAATTTTATTTGTAAAAAAGCATTTCTATTTTTATACAAAATTTTTACTGCCTCAGAAATAATGGAAGTTATTTATTGCCTATTGTTAACTTATTGGGTACCTAAAGAGCAGTTCTCTGTCTAGCTAGAACCTTCTGAAGTAGTCTCTAGAGGAATTGTTCTAGGAATGGGCTTTTTTTCACCGTTGAACCCTAGACCTGAAGTTCATGCTTTATCCTCTCGTTGTTTGTATCTGTCTGATTATTTTGTTTGTAACTTCCATTATCTAGTTTACAGTTCAGTCGTCTGACTTTCCCCGTATGTCACATTTGTTGAAACTGGACCTTCTCCCCCTGTCCCTCACCCCAAAACACCCGGAATCCATCCCGTTTCGCTCTCTCCAGATGGATTCTCTTGGGGTTTCATTGTGCTGTGGATAAGGAGTGTAAGAAATGCAAATTATGTGAATGGCTCGGAGACTCCCTAATGACCTAAGATTTGCATTAGTTTTTCTCCTGCACCCTTAAAAGTGATTTTGTTGCCGCTGCATAGATTCTGTGTAACTTTTTACTCTTCCTTGTTTTTTCCCTAGACATCTTCATGCCCGTTAGTTCATCGTTTGCCTAGCATGTCCCTGTGGCGTCTCAAAAAAAAGTTTCATCGTCCCGTCATTGTTTCTGATGTCTTTCTGACCTCACATCATATTTGGTTCTCCTACTGACCTTTGATCTAGTTTGACCTTTGAAATTTGCATGTGACCTCATCTAGCTATGAATTCTGGGAAGTCAATGTGAAAAACATTGCTGCATTCATGCAAGACTGAAATTTATTATTAGACAAATTCATTATAGAAAAAACCTGTGGCAAAAACGTTTCTTTCTTATTTTTTTTCTTTTCCTAAAACAGACTTGAAAGTATTATACAGGGATTGGCATTCTTCCCGGTCACTGGTAACAATAGCAATATGTGTCCAGGGACACAGAATGTTGGTTTCTAACAGACTACTTCCAAAAACAGTTTGAGAAAAAAACTGTCTGATTTTAAGTCTCTAGAGGTCTGTAATAGTTTTTACATTTTTCAGGCAGTGTAAAGTTTTTTGATAAGGCCATTTTAGGTGGCTCACTTTCTCATTAAGATATATATATAGAACCACTTTTTGTAGATTAGTATAAGAAAAATATTTACCCTGTTTTGGGGCAAATGCTACCTATTTGTGTCACCTTTTGCTGAACTCACAGTTAGACAATCCATGGTTTAATGCACATGAAATTACCTATATTTTATACTGTTTCAATGTACAGGAGAAAGGTTACTGTAAACTGTGTTATGTTGGTGCTTCTGTGAATTAAGTTGTGGTTTCATCATGAGTCTTAATGTTCTTTGTTGATAAGACAAGTTTAGAATTGGTTTACTTAATACAAAAAAAAAAAAAAGAATTTCAAAAAAAAAAGTTGTTTGCTTAAAAAAAATTTCATGTGAGGGAAAAAAAAAAAACCTATTCCAGAATAAGTTTTGTGTTGGCTTGTGAAGCATTGATGTCATTTTTTTTAATTGTGGACTATTTAGATGTGTTTGTGTTCAGCAAAATGTGATGTTTTTTTCTTTTAAAGAAAAAAAGTGAAAATATATAGTGCCAAATTCCAAAGGTACTTCCTTCCTAGAGCTTCAGTGTGTTTCTTGTGAGAAGTAATTTGATAACATGGGTATTTTATTATGTGTTTTGTATAAATCCCTAATATTTAAAAAAAAAAACAAAACAAAAAAAGGTTACAAAGTTTGTTAACTTGCTATCCTGTGGTCTTGTTGCCTGAAATTGTTATTGTTTGTTATTTCTCTCTGATGTTTTTTGTAAGACATTGTATAAGTGCCCATGTCCCACTTTTTTAACCACTCCGCACATCAGTGCTGTGAAGGCAACCTCACCATGTATTTTCTTCATAATCTATGGAAACCTCTAAGGTGAGAAAGTTTTGAACTTTTAACCCTTTCTACCCAGAGCTATCTGGAATGTTGATGACTTTTTATACTGTCATGATTTGAGTTTGTTTTGGGGTGTTTCCAATTTGGATTTTTTTCCCTGCATCTATCCTCTAAGTTGTTTCGGTTTGACTACTTTGTTCTTTGGTTAAGATCCAAAAGAAAACAGAAAACAATTCCACGAGGCCAATCTAAAGGGAAAAAATCCTACACTACTTTTACTACTTTTGATTATTTCTCATTTTTGGGAAAAGAATTCCTAATGTGCTACTAGAATTCCTTCTTCAGTTTTAACGAGTAATTGGATAAACCCTGAGGGAAAACGGAGGTAGATTCAGCACCTAACAATCCTGTATGCTTTTGAGATCACGTTTAGTGCTATGTCCTAGTCTAGAATATTTTCATATACCTTGCAGTAAAACGACTTTGTGGCAGGACAGTCTCTTGAGGGGTTTTGTTTCTGTTTCCTAAATACTCCTAAATAATATTTCTAATCAGCCATTATGCTGGGGCATCTCTGATCCCAGTAGGTACCTCTGAATATACCAGGTGTCTGGAGTTAGAAGCCCATAGCCCTTTCCCAGCCTTTTTGGTTTTTTTAATTGAACACATTTCATCTAAGTAAAGCTCAGTTCTTTATCACAATTTACTGACCAAATACCTAGCACCAGTTCCTGCTGCCACTTTTTAAAGTGCCATATGACTTTCTACGAACAGGTACCTTGCTGTCTTGACAAATCCTAATGTCACGCCTACAGCCCCAACACAAGCTCCAGTCTTCCTCTTCGGCATGCCCTGGAAGCTTCTTGGCCTCAGCTCCCCTTCCCCGCTCAGCACCCTGTTAGGATCAGTGTGTGTGGATGGGATAGCCCTGGGATGGAAAGGACTAGCCTCTACTGATGCAAAAAAACAAAAAGCAACACAAACGTTTCCTTCTTATAGCACATGCACTTCCTTACAATGACATGATTTGTATTATCCTCACATGTGTTTACTACTGCTGGGGCCTTCCTTCATCCTCTGAGGGCTATTTTGTACTTTCTGCAGCAATCAGCTTAATAACAACACTTATTGCACCTGTCTCTCTCTGAGAACACGGTGTGTCTCGACACGTACCACGTACGTGGAAACACAAGAGCCCACCACTTGAATTTCTAAGACCATTTCATTCTGAAACTTCTTATCAATTACCTAAATCTCAACGAAAAACAATTTACTGAAGCCGACTCCCCTCCCCATCTCCCTCTCAACCTCAACCCACCTGCATGCATCTCCCCCAGAGGAAACACTGAGGGTAGGGGACAGGAGGCTCAGGACGCGCCCTCTGAATCGAGTGTTTCTTCTTCACAAGTCACCAAGAGAGGACATGAGGGGGAAAGTCCTTTTTGCCCTTCTCCAAAAAATAACCTTCCACAGAGACAAACTGTCCTTCTATCCACTTTTATCTTTTAATAAATATCAAAAGGAAAAAGCTGCAAGGGTGCAAAGGGCCTGTGCCAGAAGAAAACACACACAGGGAAACCGCTTTTTTTAATCAATTGTAGAGAATAGTCATTTTTAATCTAAATTAGAGAATTGTGATACAATGGCAGTCCTCAAAGGCGTAACGAGTTCATCTTTCTTTCACCATAGGGGTTATAGTTGGCTTGTGCTACTCTGGAATCATTTTACTGTTTGTTTTTATTATCTTAAGTGCTAATTAAAAAAAAAATAAAATTTTAAAAAAACCTGTAGTTTCATTACCTTTTTGAATAATGTCATACAAAAAATGTATTTGTTTTTTTGTGCTGTGAGAATTGATGTTTGTAGATTAATAATCATTTTGTTTAGAATTACAAAATAGTTTTTAAATATTGTCTGAGAAAAGCCAAAGTTAATGCAACCTAGTGGAAACTGTAAGACCATTTGAGTATTGTTTGTTTTATTGATGCATTTGGATTTTGTTGTTTGATGGAATTTGAGCCAAAAAAAAAATACGCAGGCTTTCCTATTTCTACAACTGATTGTACTTATGCATTTTGTACCAGTGGAACTTTTTATACTGGAGATTAAAAAAAAAATGGAAATTTTTGTGGCTTGCTCTGGTGGGCCCCTGACAATGACTGATTTCAAGTTTGATTTCGGGTTGATTGATTGATTGATTGATAGAAAGAAAGTTGCTTTTCTTTTGAGAATTAAAAACTTTGGCTTGATTTCTTTTTTCCCTTTGCTTATATCTAGCATTAGAATTTTGTCTTAAAATAACAGCGGTAAGTTTCACTTTTTATTCTGTATTGTGCAGTTACACAATAAGGTAATTAGATTTAGAAGTACTCAGTCACTTTAAGTGGATAAATGTATTAGTTAAAACTTTAGGGTTTGCTTTTTTGCTGTTTAGATCAAAGTTTTTTCTGATTCTTCTGTCCTCATTGTGAACATAACCGTGTAGTTGAAACAGTCAAACTTATTTTTGTAATGTATGTTATTGTGTGATGCAGTTTTTTGCTTCTGTCTCCAATATTAAACCATTTTCCTAATACTTGTTTCTCTCTCTGCGTGTTGTATTGTTGGTAGTCATTATATGTTGGTGATACATCTGCACACCTCACTGTTTCACGTATCTGTTTTTTTCTCTATGTTGTGTAAAAAGATACAGTCGATTCCACTTAAGTGAATATCTGATTTGGGGAAGAGGAAACTGCACAGCAGCCACCTTTGATTTATGTACAACCGCCCACTTGAACTCCTGCTTCCAAGATTTATACACTTTTTTCCTACAGTTCACCTCAGTAACTGCCTTTGGGGTTGGATTTGCCAAGGTGTTTTACGGTCTTTTGACCACACAGGTTAATTTCCCCTTCTCTCCCCTCCCTCATGAGTCTATCCACGCAGTTCTTAACATACATTCCAAACTGCTGCGGGGTTTCCTCTCCACACCCACGAGGCCAAACCCGCATCATTACAGTCCAACTCTTCTTAGACACTAATCACTTTCTAAAAGAAGTGAGTTCTCCAGGGAAGAAAAATCAACTTAGCCAGTGAAAAGGGTTAAACTTAAGTCTATTATTTGTTGCCCTCAATCAAAAGATATGTATAGAAAAGTCATTTAAATTATTTATTTCTACAAGCTAATTGAATCCAGGAGCAGCTTTAATTATTAACACTAACGGAAGAGAAAAGAAGTATTTCCAAGGGCTCAAATGGAAGCTGTACTCAGTCCGGTGGAGGCAGGGGGAGGTAAAGTTTCTCACACTCAAGTCGTCTTCATAGTTTACTGTCCTTTTCCAAACAAAAGCTAATAACGCCATACGCATCCACACACTCCCTCCTGGATGAACCTAAGTCTCGTCCCCACTGTCACCCCAAGGCCAGTTATCAAAAACTGTTCCTTCTCTGCCCTCAAAGACTGAAGCCGCAGGCCCTGTTCTGCCTCTGCTCAGGAATCTGATTGCTCTTAAAGTGCTCTTACAAGATTCCGTCGATGTTTGCTCCCTCTGTCTTATCTCTCCTTCCAGTATTTTCAGACGCACAAGCTCTGACTCAGGCCACCCAGCACCTGGCAGCCTTCCTCTGCGTGCCAGTGAAATCTCTCCCAGTAGGTGCTCAGGCTCTTCACCCTCTCGTTGCAGCAGCCCCTCTGGCCCGAGATTGTATTTTCTAGTCTGCTCAAGAACAGAGGGGCCTGGCGAGGTGGAGGAAGGGAGGCTCCCTCCCCGGGGCTGGCCGCCTCAGTGATGGTGATGCCACCAGCTCCAGCCTGCACGGATGGAGCTCACTTCCTACCATCACTTCTGCTTTCAGTCTCCTCATAGCCTTCGGCAGTCTCCTCTGAAAACACACTGCCTACGTTAGTGGGAAAGGATGGCTAAGGGTGTGATTTCTTTTTATTAGGGAGGTGGGAGGGGGATGTTGGGAGGCATGGGGGGTGATTAAATTATCATTTCCAAGGTGCAAGTGTTTATTTTTCAAATCTATAAGTACATAGTTCCACCATTTTGGCACAAGACAAAATACTCATGCTAAGCAAAGGAAGAGAAAGACAAAGCCAGTTTTTGTTGCTTTTCTAAAGCAACAAATAATTCTCCAAAGAAGGGGATGAAAATGCTAGTTCCTTTAAGCACTTACTGACTGTAAAGTTGGTCCCTGCTTAAATTCATACCCATAGTTTTGAGTCGGTATGACACCACTGCAGTGTGAGCAAGGTGAATCCGTGTGCCATGCATGGACCACCTTGGGATACCGCAGCACCATCAACATCCGCCTTGCTGATGGAAGCCACACACGCTGCCCAGCCCACAGCAGTCGCACGCAGCCGATGGGCTCGGACTCTTAGCTGGCAGGCTAGGACACACAGTGAACATTAATGTACTGTGAATCGTTCCTGATAAGTGAATAAAACATTGTGACCAAACAATCAGCTTATTCACTTATCAGGAATCGACTGTTCTGCTAATTTGCTGTTGTTGTTTTTCATCTCTGTTGTAGTTCACTATTTTTGCTGTGTTCTGTTTTCTCCTCTCATGCTTGGGCAAATCACTGGGAATATTATCTTCATGTGACCATGAAACGTTTCTATTGAGTGAAAATGATATCTTAACAAAATCTATGCACTTGCTATCAGGAACACAATACTGGATGTGTCTTATATATATTGAACTATATAGTACTCGATTTCTTAAATAAAGCTTAAGAAAGGACTCTGTTGTGTGTAAAGTTAATGTGATTATTTTTCAAAGCAGTGTTTCTAAGGGGTATTTTTGTTCTTTTAAGTCTTGAGTGATACAGGATATTTTTCATTAAAATTATATCACTGGCTTTATGACTTAATATTCAATAAATTGACTTTGGAAACAAAAGTTCTCCGGAGTGCATTTTAGCCAAGAGACCTCTGGAAATCCATCGCCTGCCTCGTGACCACGGCCAGTCTCTATCCGCACACTGTGGGTGGCGGAACAGAGCAGTCCCTTCATGGCCAAAAAGCCCACTAGGAAGCACCCAGAGTCTGCCCCAACCTAGAAAACCCAACTGTCTTTCTGGATGTGATCTCTTTAGGCCCAGAAGAAAGGGGACCAAAGAGAAAGGCAGATCCAGGAATAATGCTGGTTTGTGTCAATACTTTGCCAGAATGATGTGACACTGAAAGCATGCCCTGCTGGAGAACAATAGCCGCCCTATTCAGGAAGGCAGAATGAGAGTCAGCAAGAGAAGGCATTTGATCATGCAGGATGAGAAGGGTAATGTTTCAAAGCGGTGTGTGAGAGAGAGACATCCTATAACAGTTGCAGCGCTTAAACGGGAGGCCTGCTGCTTGGCCCTTTGAAGGAATATTTTTGAAATTTTTCCTACAGGCCGTAAGTTTGAACAGAATGGCATTTTCTGTTGGATTCCTTTTTTGCTTCAGGGTTTTATGTTGGATTTGTTTTTCTAGCTTAATGCTGGATTCTGAGAAAAACTCCTTAACTTCTACTTGCAAAATGGCACAAGCATCCTGATCCTTTATGAAGCAAATCTTATTCATTCCTGGTAATGAGGGACAGAAAGAGCAGCTAATGAAAACCCACAGATAATCCAGAATTATTCTTCCATTCTCTGCTTTCTCCCACCACAAACCTCCTACTCATAAACTTCTCACAAAAAAAGAAGCTTCTAATGAAAGTGAGGGAGCAGAGAAAGAGCCAAGAAGCAGGAAAAGGCAGCCAAAGCCAAGGGCCTGGAGAGGGCATACCTGCTGGTGCCGTGCAGCCGCGTGGGGAGCGCTTAACACTGGGAGACCCATGGTCCAGGAGACCTGGGCGCAGGCGCTGAAGAGCTGCCTGCGTGTGGGGCGCCCTTCACAGTCCTCCCTTGCCAGTCAGGCACACAGCTAGAACACACCCCTTCCGTAAAGAGCACACAGCCGAGGGCGTCATGGGTAGGAGGGCGCTGAGTTAGTCGGGGAAGGAGGAATAAGACCAACGTCTTCCCCTGTTGGTGTGCAGCCCTGATTCCAGAGTCCCCCATGTCTCCCTAACCAGGGGCTGCATGCTGGGAGACCAGCACAGAGTAACAGGTCAAGGCAGCTGGAAGTCACCTGCCGGGCAGGAGCTGCTTTCTGAGGAATACTCCATGTCTTGTAACCTGTCTCTACTGGTCAGCAAAGCACCCTGGCACCAGCTTCCACGTGCCTGCATCAGGAGGGTGTTTTAATACAAACTACACACACACACTGTTCTCCAACTGGTCACTTATAGCTGAAGCCGCACATAAAAATCCCCAGTTGTGAGACACTGGAGGATCCTTCTCTCATGAAGCTGCTGGGCCATGTATAGAAAGTTCTCAGGTGCATTCTCTGGGAAGCCAGACTGCCTCGATGTGAATGCCAACCCTACCACTGATTACCCAGGGAACCTCTGTGCCTGAATTTCCTCATTAGCACAAGGAGGGTAAAAATAATACCTAATATGTGGGGTTGTCATGAGGATCAATTAAGCCAATACACATAAAATGATGTGCTCAGGGTCCACGGCGCTGTGAGCACTAGGCCGGGCCGCAGGTGAATCGCAGCAGCCACACCTAAAGACAGGGCAGCTGAACTGGCCTCTGCTGGCCTGGCCTCTCACCTTCTCCCAGCAGGTGTCCACTTAGCTCCCTGGGTTCCCTGGGGAACTGTAGGCAAGGTCTGACCAGAAAGTACAGCTCTTCCAGCAGAGCTCTCTGCACTGACAAGTCCCAGAACAGGCCTTTCCCCTTCAGAGACACTGTCCACTCTAGCGGCATCTCCCCTCACAGGCTCACACACCACACAGCTCCAGGAAGCCACCAACTCATCCCACGCTAGGAAAAGGCAACGATTCCTCACTCAGATCCACCCCTTCCTACCTGTATTGTATTTAGGCATCTCTTCCCCAAAAGAAAAGCCTAGCTGTCCAGTTTGGACCCAAGGCAGGAATGACAAGGTCACCTGTAGATCTGTCTGTAACAAGCCTGTAGGTTCCAGGCCCTTCCAAGGCAAAGCGGTGCTCAACAGCAACCTGAATGGGTATATGACCACCTCAGGGAGAGCAGAGGCCGGACTTCTGAAACAAGGGCAGGCACACGGATGCAGCCAGGCAGAGAGCACCCGACCCCCACCCCCATCCTCACCCTGCTCCCAATTCACCACAGGCACTCTGCTTTTGTTGTCTTTATTGGTGATCCATGCAGAAGTTTGGAAAAATGATTTTGCTACTAAAAGCACAAAGATTAAAAGTCATAGCTTAAGCAGAGGGTGACTATTAAGAGAGACTCTCTGTTACCTAAGCCCTGTGGCAAATGGTTAAAGTCTTCGGAGTCATTCTCCCCTTCCCTCCTCTCTCCACCCACTTCTATCTTCCCGCATTCTTTGCAATGCTGCAGAACATTCGCTATTTATGGTGTGCTGTTTCCATGTCACATGTGTCTGTCTCCTCAGCTAGACCATGAGCTCTCTGAAGGAAGTGACTGTGTCTCGTCCATCAATGAACCCCCCGTGCCTCGCACAGTGCCTGCCATCTAGTCAGGGTTCAAACATGCTGGCTGGTCGAGGAGACTCTGGGAAGCAGCAGTGAGCATGCTGGGGCTGGGGACAAGGCTTCTTTATTCAATTGTGGATGCGCTCAGCGGGGTGGAAACTGGAGACCCCCTGGCCAAAGTCAGGAGCCACAGAGTGGGGGCCTAGGGCATGGGTGGGAATGAGGGAGAACCACTGCGGTGAGCCCCCTATGCAGGCTCTGCCTGGTGGCCCCAAAGCTTCTCAGCTAAGGGGTCCCAAATGGAAGACTTGCCCGCTATGAGGTCAAGCCACCTCAGATGTCCCGTCATCTCTTTCTGCACCCGCTCAGGAACATTTTCTATCTCGACAGAAGTTTAACATCTGAGATCAGAACGGACATAGAACTAAGCGCACATGAACAGAAACTGTGGAGACAGGCGCCTGACTCAGGCATTCCTGAGAAGCGGATCCGCTCCCTTTCCCCCATCTCCCACGGCAGCTCCTGTTGGGCCTGGCAAGTTAGTGCCCAGGGCAGGATGGGGCCGACGCCAGCCCCCCACCCTGCACAGCACAACCGAGCCATTCAAACAGACTCGGACAGGCACAAGGTCCCTGCTACTGCAGGGATGCCATTTGGCGGCAGGCACGCAGGACATGGGCTTGGATCCTAGTTCTGTGTCCCAACAAAACAATAGCTACCACAGAGCGAGGACGTTCGCCGCTAATCATTCATTTGTTCAAAACACACGTTAAAGAGCTACCCTATGGCAGGCATTCTGGTTAGGCCGTGGGTGCAGACAGTTAACACGTCATACCCCTCCCTCTGAGAGTTTGGCCATAATTAGCTTCTCTGCCAAATAAGGGAAAACAGGTAATCAAGTGGATGGTCCAGGCAAACCTCTCTCCCCGCACAGCAGACACTGCATCCCAGGGCGCCCACACAGATTACTTGCTCGGAGACACTTCTATGGGACACTCTACCTTAGCTGAGCTCACTGTTGCTCAGACTCAGCATCGCCCCGCTGGAGCTTCAACGGCTGTCCTGGGGGAGGATGAAAGACAGTGGGAGACAGGGCAAGAAGCTCCCTAAAGCTTGTACACAACAACGTCTTTACCGAGGCCAGAGCTGACCAAAGTGGCCCAAGTGCTCCAGGGTCATGTTTCCCAACCACCCAACTATGACACTTTCTTCCCCATCTACAAAATGGGATCCAACCAACAGCTTCACATCTTTAAAAACTATGAACTGAAATAAATGCTGGGTGCCTTCCCCTCAAGGAACACAATTAGGCTGGGTAGGTGGGTAGGGGGGATGTAAGGGAGGACAGGGCCTCTGTGGGCCTGAGAGGCGGGGGCTCTGGCAAGAGAAGAATGCCCTGCTGAGCTGATGCTGCAGTCACCACCCACCTGGAGCTCCAGGACCCCATGCCCCGCCAGCCCAGCTCTGCCCGCTTTCTATCCCCCACTGACTGCATCTCCCCAGAGGTGCCCCTTTCAGCCTCTCCTACAGTGTCAGCACATCCCTGTTCGCAGCCTCAATTTCTGCCCAGTTGCAATAAAATGTTGGTACCCACTTGCCTGCCTTCCCTGGCACATGACGCTCTGCAGAGCAGGTGTCAGAGAAGGGGAGATTCCCAACTCAACTCCCCCACCCGGTGACGAGAGGGCCAGGCAAGCAGCCCCTCAGGTTGGCCAGAGCAAACAAACAAGGAAATATTGGTGATCTGTCATTCAAGAATGTGATTATAAATATATGTCACACACCTCTATAATTACAACCATCCAGGTTAAAATTTGAATAATTCACAAACTTACGGTGTGGTATGAATTTGGAAACATTGATCTGAAGTAATGTTTTCCAAATTCTATTCTACAGACATTACCCTGCAAGATAATCTATGGGAAAAATAAGTTCGGCAGCCAAGAAGGTGTGAGGAGTGCTGTTAACCCAATCCTCCTGGAAGCTGCCCATGTGCAGTCACTTAGAAAAGCTCTGGGACAGCTCTGCACCCTGCAGCAAAGACCTACCTAGTTCACCTTGTTCAGCCCAGTGCAAGCTGTGCTTTCATTCTTGAAACTGTCATCCTATGATACCTATTAACCGGAGGGGTGATTCAATGCAGTGGGGAAGCACATGGACTTTGGAATAAGGTTGCCTGGGTTGACCGTGGCTCTGCCACTTACTAGCTTGAACCTTGAGCAAGTTCCTCAATTTCATCATCTGTGAAACACAGGACACCAACAGCAGCACCTACCTATATGGGAACTATTCCTAACAGCATTTATAACACAATAAGCTCTAGAGAGGTGTTCATGAACAGCCAGCAGAACTAGTGTCCTAAGGCAAGGGTTGGGAAACACTGGTAGAGAATTGGAAGTCCTATAGAATTCTGGAGACATCATCTCTCCGTAAGATTACAGACTGGTAGGAGAAAGCGTATGTAATTATGACTCAACATGTTAAGTCATGACCAAGGAGTATGTGGGGACTTTGGAACCCAAAGGGAAGGAACTGCATTTCTAACGGTGAGGAAGGTTTCAGGAAACAATCTACAGCCAAATTGACAGAAATCCCAAAACATAAGCAGGATTTCACCAAGCAGAAAAGTAGAGGACAACTGCAGCAAATACAGAGTAGGTGTGCAGTGTGGCTGCGGACAGCGAACAGCCCGATTTGACTAGAGTGGACAGGAGCCGGAAGATGGGACAATGCACTTCACTGGAAACGTGGCTGACATTAGGTTGTTACGGGCCCCAGGTTCCAAATTAGGGACCTTGGGATTTCAGTCTACAGGAAATAAGGATCACCAACGTCAAAAACAACCAGTCAACCAAGGAAGGATCAGAGTGGGTAGTGAACTGAGTAGAAGAGGAAAAGACTAGGGGCAAGGAGACATGTTTCAAGGAAATTGAACCAGTTCAGGTAAGCACAGAAGAGGCAATCAGACCAGAGAAGGGGAAAAAGGGTTGAGAGGTATTTCAAACACAGCAAAATATTGGGTGTGACATTTAGAGAAAGCATAGAAATGACCAAAAAAAAAAAAAAAAAACTGGGGGATGGGGCAGAATTCGGAGTGGGGAATGGAGAAGACCAAGGCTGTAGCAAAGGTCCTTGAGATGGACACAGTAGTAGCAGCAGCATGTCCTGGGAAGTGATGGGTGACAACTTGGGCTCATGTCAGGTTCAAATCCATCCTGGTCTTGCTCCCAGGTAGGGCCAGCTACAGATGTGGGCAGCATCAGTAACTGGGTGGGAAGCAGTTATAGGAATGCTGGCCCCACTCTGCAAGACTGTCAGAGTGGGGGAAGGGCCTGTACTGAGCATCATCTACAATAAGATCCAGGTTGATGGCATGTTATTTCTCCCCTCCCAGAAAGGACTCCACAGGGGTACTCTGGATGAGCCAGGACGTTAACATCGGGAGTTAACGTCCCATTCAGGAGCCCATTTTGCCCCCCAGAGACCTTCCTCCTCTTCCCTGCTTGCTGACGGATGCCTGGGATGTCTATCCAAAGGAGATGGTTTAGTCCGTTCTCTCTCTTCTACACGGGCCAGAAAATTGCCAAGCTCTGTCTACATCCATGAAACTATATTGTGACATGGCCACTTGACATGGGAATATAGTGACATAGCTAAATTTATAGGCTAGTGTGTTTTCAACATTTTCTTACCAGCAATGATGCTCAAATGCTCTCACCCTATCTCTAACGCCCCTCATGTTCTTAATCACATCCTCAGCCTAATTGCATCCTTGGGCTTCACTCAGGGATAAGGATAAAGTTCAGGGATGCATTCTGGTCAGCAAAGTCCACTGTACACATTACATGAAAATAAAAAAACATTCTTTTTTCTTGTTGTCCTATGTCAGGATGGCTGCAACAAAACCACAACAAAATTTCCTACCCCGAGCTGTGATTCTTTCCATCTCCACCTGGGTCAGCAGAATCTCCAGGTAGTATTAGCTCACCTAATTAGCTGCTTTCCCTCTCTTGCAGCTGAAAACCACACCCACAGCACATCAGTCACGTCCGGCCCTGTGTGAAAGCCCTGTTCTCTTCCTACTGACATTCCACTTTGAAGCTCATTGCCCTGGCCAAGAATACATACCTGCTAGTGTGACCCTGAAATACACTGCTGCCTGGTGTTTTGCCCGCCAGCTCCCGGCATCCAGGCGTCTTCTGGCCAACTGCTGGAGACACTTGAGCATCACCCTGTGCCAGGAGCAGGGCCCAGACCAGTGTTGTGCCACCTCGATCCCTCAGGCCGCACCTGCCATCCGCTATGATCCTCAAAACCGGGAAGGGCTCTCTTCTCCAAAAACTTCCTCCCTAACAAGCTCCACTGATAAATTAAAGGCTTCATTCCCCCATCAGATAAAAGGCTAAAACGCAATGAACGATCCCGGAAAAAGTTAAGTAACAGTTCCACCTGGAAACTTGAACGGCCCTTCTTGGCAAGGTGATTTTAATCAAACAGAATTAGAAGACACGGAGAGCCTGGAAGAGGGAGGTGGGAGGATGTGGTCAAGGGCTGCCCAGCGACAAATCACTTCCGCCACGCTGGCGTATGGCGCCTTTGCTATGTGCCAGGCACGGCGCTGGATGGGCTCTTCGTGCATCATCTTCATTTACGCGGCAGTGACCCAGTGAAGTAGGCATTATTTCCATTTTGCAGGAGAGCAAACGGGTTCAGATGTGAAGTATCGGTCTAAAGCCAAACGGCCACTAACCGGCACGGCATAAGCGTTACGTTCCACAAGGTCCCTGACGGCCACCTGGGCGCACAGGTGGTGAGAGCCTGGGTCACCCCACTCCCACTGGATGTGCCCTGGTGGCGACCGGGGCACAGCCCACTGTCAGGTCGATGGGAAAGACTGCTTGGCACAGAGGCTCCCGCATAGGCCCAGGACACGGGGCAGGGCTGGTCACAGCCATGAGTTCGTTGCCTTGACCTCAAATGCCAGCTGCAACCCCCGTGAGCCAGGGACACCCTGGCGGAGTGCACGCACGCGTCGCGGCCTCCCTGCGCTAGCCCGGCGCGCGTGACTGTCTAATGGGGCCGGCGCCAGCGTCCCACACCGCGAACTCGGGCAAGCGAGGACAGAAACGGTTTCTCCACTCACAACCGCTCCTTTGCACTCACATCCCGTCTGTTTGGGTGTCCCCGGGTTGGGACATTAGGTTCTGTTGGTCCCGCTTTCCGCAGGCCTGACCCTAAGCGTCGTCGTCGGGAGGTGGTGGGGTGAGGCGGGGGCGGTGCGTGGCTTACCTGGCGTTAGCTTGGGATCCCGCGCGGCCGACTCCCTTTTCCCCTTCACTGCAGCGTCCTTGTGCTGCTTCTCAGTGGGTTGGCCCTAGCCCCCACCCTTGACCCTCGACCCCGGCGGAGGTGGAGTTAGTCCCACCGCACCTAGGGGCGCCCCTCGATGACAGCACAGGCCTGCTCCCGGCCTGAGCACCTGCAAGGCCGCGAGGAACCCTGGAACATCCGGTTGCTGGCGCACAACTCTCTGGGACCGGAAGCAGGTGAGGCAGAGTGGGCGGAGCCGCTCAAAGCCCGCGTCCACGTTCTGCTCCCATGCCCTGCTCCCATGCCCTGGCTGCAGGCGCCTGCGGAGTCTATTGCCCTCTATCCCTCCTGCTGCAGCCAAGCAAAGAGAGGGGCAGAGAGCAGCTACAGTCACCATAGCCACTTTCTAAGGCACTCCAGAACTTTTCCCATCTCAGGCAGAAAAATAAAACCCAGCAAGAATTCTTTCCCCTACTTCCTGTTTTACACTAGACCACAATTCTTAAACTTGGAAGCCAAGCATTTGGTCCTTCGGATATTTTGGTCTTTTTGGTTTCACTCTCCTTTGGGGTAGAGGTGCCAGAGAAAATACAGGGCGCTCAGTCTCAGGAAAACAATAAACGTTTAAGTATCGTCCATGCATTACTTGGGACATACTGAAACTGTTGTTTATCTGTTATTTTCAAATTTAACTAGGCATCCTCTGGTTTTATTTGCTAAATCTGGCAATCCTACTTTGGGAAAACAGAGGCCACTTCTTGTACCCTCAGTCAGGGTAGTGTCGTAGGGAAGAAGGCGTGTGTTTGTCCCTGGGAGGTAAGTGATCTTGATATTTCACAATATCATCTCCTCACACACCAAAAAAGCCTCCCCTTCCATGAACGTTTTTAAAGGAAGCATAATAGTGGCATTTTATCTGCCAAACCCACAGAGTTGTATCCTCTCAGGTATTTATTTGGAACAAATAAAGCTGTCATGTATTACATAAGATAGAATGCACATGTTTCTGCAAATAGCGTTGATGTACGGCAGGCAAGCCCCAACACTGTTTGACTTTGTCCAGGAAAGAATTCAAGAGTGAGCCCCTGGTGTTAGCAATCTATTATTGAACCGTACTGCTCCTTGCCGGGCTAACTCATAGGCAGTGTGCCCAGAGCCACACTTGTGGGCTCTTGGCAAGTGCATTTATACCCACTTGTGCCCACTTTCAATCACATGCAAATTGAGGGTTGGGTTATTCAGAACTTTCTAGGAAAGAGGAAATAACTTCGAGTCACTGCCTTGGAAAGGGCCAGTAGCTTCCTGGTTGTTGCCATGGCGTTGGTAAACTGAAATGGCACTGATGGGAGTGTCTTATGTGAATGAGCAATGAGGGCAGCCAGGCACCTGGTTTTGTCACCATCTGCTGGTTCCTGCTGGTTTTTTCACTTCATCTTGTGGGGATAGGGAGGTAAGTCCTGCTGGTCTCCTCCCTCATTTCCCTCTCAAAGATTAGATATTGCTCCTTACTCTTAAGGGGACAGCAGAAGAGCAGAGGTCTTTCTTCTGTAACTGCTTCTTTCTGATTTTATGGGCATAGGCCCTGCCTAGTGTTGGAGGAGTAAAATCTCTGGACCTGATCTAAGGGGCCCTATGGAAGGATGTTTGTATTCTCCGAGTCAGACAACTGGATGGGTGGCAAGCCTTGTGCAGCATCATCTTCACATGGAATTGTCATAGTCTAGAAGGCACAGACTTTACTAAGAAGTTAAACAGCGATCAGGTGTGGTGGCTCACGCCTGTAATCCCAGCACTTTGGGAGACCAAGACAGATGGATCACCTGAGGTCGGGAGTTCGAGACCAGCCTGACCAACATGGAGAAACCCCATCTCTACTAAAAATACAAAATTAGCCAGGTGTGGTGGTGCATGCCTATAATCCCAGCTACTCAGGAGGCTGAGGCAGGAGAATTGCTTGACCCAGGAGGCACAGGTTGCGGTGAGCCGAGATCGCACCATTGCACTCCAGCCTGGGCAACAAGAGTGAAACTCCATCTCAGGGAAAAAAAAAAAGAAGTTAAGCAAGGGTCAAAAGTTAGTAATAATAAAATAGCTGTCAAAAGTCTTAGGAAAGTTAAAAAAAACAAACAAGTGAGAATAATGGGTGTGGTTTATTATTGCATACACTCTTCCTTGTCATATTATGTATTTGTGCATTTGTGAAACAGCAGCTTTAAGTCTTTTAGGGGTTCACAAGTGTAAGTCATGTTGTCCTCCTCTTATACCTGTGGAGACTTAAGAGAAACAGGTTTCATCCTGGACAGGTTTACCCAGCTAGTGATTCCCTGAAGTTTAATAGCAGTGAGGACACTTTACAATACCTGATGAGTTGTAATTGATCCAGTGGTGGGGGGGTCCTTTTTAAAAAATTTTCAGTAAGGCAAAGCTGCTGGTTGAATAGGGGAGGCTATTCTTTTCTTTTATGGGAAAGGGCAATCCTTTATTTTCATAATGTTGGAAGACCGTTTGTACCTTGCCCAGATTTCAAGGGGAGGCACAGTGAGGCATGTCCAACCCCCTATTTCATGTCATTGCCTGAGTTTTTCAGGTTTCTTTGGGATTCTCTTTGGCCGAGGGACTTACAACCAACTAAACATTCTAGGCCAGACAGGAATGGAGGTAGGCAGGCATTCATTAGCCCTTAAAACCCTTTTAAGCAATATAAGAGTCAAAACCTAAAAGCCAAAAATAAGATTATACATCAAGAAAAAACCAAGAGTACAGGTTCAAGTTATACTAGGAGAAAACATTGCTTTTCTAGGCATTAAGATAAAATATTTTAGCATCTTAGCATCAGGCCATAACAACAGTGGGAACCAGAGGAAAAAATATTACAGGCACTGATGAAAAAGCTAAAGGAGATGGTTATCATCATGGGCCTTCCCAAAGGGGGACAGTGCTGAGAGCAGCCTGACACAACGGTTGAACTTTTGAGTTAGGAATCTGTATTAGTCCATTTTCATGCTACTGATAAAGATATACCCAAGACTAGGCAATTTACAAAAGAAAGAGGTTTAATGGACTTACAGTTCCACATGGCTGGGGAGGCCTCACAATCATGGTGGAAGGCAAGGAGGAGCAACTCACACCTTACATGGATGGCAGCAGGCAAAAAGGGAGCTTGTGCAGGGAAACTCCCGTTTTTAAAACCACCGGATCTCGTGAGACTTATTCACTATCACGGGAACAGCACGGGAAAGACCCACCCCCATGATTCAATTACCTCCCACTGGGCTCCTCCCATGACATGTGGGAATTGTGGGAGTTACAATTCAAGATTAGATGGGGGACATGGCCTAAACATATCAGAATCTGTGAAGTTTTTCAAAGAAACATGTTATAGAATTGAAAAGCAAACATTTTTATAATTTTATTAACAGCAAATCTGTACCTTAGGGAAACCTTGTTTTAACATGGGACCGTTCTCTAGAAAGACTATTAGAAACAATTCTCTTTTAATGACAGCCAAATTAATTACACACAAAATTCCTTTATAAATTCCCCTTTACAAACCTTATCACAACTTAGACCACCTCTGACACACTTGGACTTTCTGACTTGTCTAATACTACTGCTTATTTAAATAATCAGTCATTCTACCCTAGGACAAGAATTTATCATATAAGATCTTTTTTATAGAAAATTATTCTTTATATCCTTCCTTACCAATAACTTTTTTTTACATCTCTCTTTTCTACTTACTGGTTTCTTTGTATTTTGAACTTCCTTTTTAATAACTTCTGAATTAGACAAAGACTATTCTTTTTCCCAATAAAGGATACATCTTCTTTGGCTTATTTTATATAAACCTAGGAAGCAAGAAATCCTAAACTGCCTATCAGATATTGGGACTTTATAGATAAGGAACCATTCTATAATTTTAAGACTTTAAACCACACAAAAAGCTCATCATTTAAAGCCGTTTTAATCATTCTAACACCTACAAATATCAGTGGTTTACCTAAATAAAAATTTTAAAGTTAAATTTTAGAAGATGCAATATTCCCTTTAAACTAATAAGTTTAGTCTTACTTGTTTAATTTATGAGCGATCTTTTACTTATAAGCCAATTTGACAGCACACTAGACACAACACACATCACACAAAGTGACCTATCCAAGACAGCTGGATCCAAGTTATTTGCAAAATTGGGACCTGTCAACCTAGCCAAATTTTGTTTGCCCTGATAGGTATGGAAAACAGGGAGAGTCAAGGAAGGGGATCCCGTAGAAGGGAGGGGGCAAACCCCACTGTTCAAGGGGAGACCTGAGCCAGCAGAGAGTCCACTTAGCAGCAGAGACACCAAAGAGAAACATCCAGACGGCCACTTGTCTGCCACAGAGGGAAGATGTCTGTCAGTCAGGTCAAGGGCCTGGGACCCCCAGTAATATCACTTGAGCAAGGCAGCTGGTTGGGAGCAATTGGAAGAAGGTTAGCTCTAGTATTGACGGTAGCTTTTTCCCTCTTTCATCAGGATGGTTAGAACTTTCTCATTGACAATGGCCCTCTTGTTTACAGTAGGCACGCTGATTCCAGCCCAGGGGCCAGCAAGTCAGGGGCTTTCATCTGGGTATCCCAGATGCTGATCTCATGACACTTTCTTGGGATAGGTAACCCTGAGGGGCCAGATGGTTTAAAGCATTCACTAGCAATTGTGCTTTTTCGCTATTTCTTTTGGGTCTCTCTGCCCTCTTTGCCCTGTCCCTATTGTAAACTCTAAAGACCATGTTCCAGAGTTGGCTCATCAGGGTTTGGGGTCCCACTGCTGCTTTTTATAGCTTCCTCCTAATGTCAGAGGCAGACTGAGTCATAAAATGCATACCCAAGAGAGCTTCCACTTCTGGGGTGTCTGGATTTACCTTAGTAAATATTTCCTGAGTGCCTCAACCATTCAGCCCTGAATGGGATTTTCATTTTTTCCCTAAGTTACTTTGTTAACATTGTTAGGATTACTGGCTTAACCACACACCTTTTTCTCTGCCTCTTCTGTGCAGCACAGAAAGTGGATGACAATACTTGCAAGTCATGCCAAGTAAATCAAAGGACATGGTCAATTTAATAAACTCTTCTACAAATGTTCCTGGATTCTCTAAGAACTGGCCAGATTTTTCCTTGCATAAAGCCAAGCCAGGCATAGAAAAAGGTGCATGTACTCTGATTATTCTTTTATTCCTTTTGGCTACCTCCCACAATGGACACAGGTTTGATTTCAGGGGCTGATACAGGACCACACTTTTGGTGGTACTGGTTGGGCTTACTTCCTCAGGCAGTAGGGGGGATAGGCTGGGGACAGTTGGATAAGGAGAGGGGTACCTGATGACCTTGGGGTGGAATCCTGTGTTACAGACCTGGTGGGAACCCTCCCTCTGAATTGGGGGAGCTGAGGAGACTCTGGAGGAGGGTGTAGGCCTTCTAGGGGGAGCAGCTAGGAGGGAATTCCTTAAGCATGACTTCCTGGTGCCTGGAAGTAACATAAGCCAGTAAAGGGCCATAAAAGCCTGTACATAAGGGACCTCTTCCCATTTTCCTTTTTTATTGAGACTTTGCTCTGTCACCCAGGCTGGAGCGCAGTGGCACAGTCACAGCTAACTGCAGCCTCCAACCCTTGGGCTCAAATGATCCTCTTGCCTCAACCTCCCAGAGTAGCTAGGACTACAGGTGCATACCACCATGCCCAGCATTTTTTTTTTTTTTTTTGTAGAGATGGGGTATTGCTATGTTGCCCAGATGGGTCTTGAACTCCAACCTCAAGCTATCTTCCCTCCTCGACCTCCCAAAGTGCTGGGATAAAAGGCATGAGCCACTGCACCTGGCCCCTCCTTTTTTTTTTTAACCAAGTAAGTCCAATTATAAAATAGCATTATGGTATAAAGAACCACGTTTAAGCCAAATCTCTTGGTTTTCTAATTTTTATTGGACCCAAATGATGCTGCAATAGAAAATGAGTTTCTTTTTAAGTCGAATTTCAATTTTCACCAAAAGCCTTAAAGACACCCTACTGGCAAGTCTTTTCGGATGTTCGCCATTGTCCGCTTGTCTAAGAAGAATCTTCACCAGACAAAGAAGCTTTTCTAAGGCTAGTGAGAGGGAAAGCAACTGGGCCCTCGCAGTTCTTCCTTTCAGATTCGCACTTCCTGTAGGGAAGGTGTACGTATAGGTAGCAAGGTATTACAAAATATATTATAAGTGTTTGCCAGTGAATTAAACACTACAGAAGTATTTTTATTAAGCAACGTGCAGAAGGAAAAGTGTAAATAAAGTAACAATAAGAAAAGAAAATGCTTCTATGGAAAATGATAACTTTAGGGCAGAAAACAAGAAAAGGCAAGACTAAGACTCCCCTAGGGTGGGCCTCCAACCCACAATCCTAGAGGGAATGTCAACGCTGAAAACCCCAGAGCATCTTGGGCGTAGCCAACAATACCAAATATCAAAAACCCAGAGTACCCAAGTATCAGCCAATGAGGATCCCCCCACCAAATACCAAAAGCCCTAGAGCATCCAAGGAGCCAGGAAACAGTGAACCCCAAAGGCCAGGTAGGGCCACAGAACAACGTGATTCTGGTGTCTCAGAATCAACACAACAGGAGACCTCTCCAACCAAGTGTTCTGCCTTAAACAATTACCCAAATACAGTTAGAAGGGAACCAAAGCAAAAGCTACAAATGAAATATGCATTTCAGGCTGGGCATGGTGTCTCACACCCATAATCCCAACACTTTGGGAGGCCGAGCCAGGCGTTTCAAGAGCAGCCTGGACAACATGACGAAACCCCCTTTCTACTAAAAGTACAAAAATTAGCCAGGCGTAGTGGTACACTACTGCAGTCCCAGTTACTTGGGAGGCTGAGGCATGAAAATTGCTTAAACCCAGGAGGCGGTAGATGCAGTGAGCCAAGATCATGCCACTGCACTTCAGCCTAGGTGGCAGAGAGAGACTCCATCTCAAAAAAAAATGTATTTCAAGGTGGAAAATAAAATGAAACGGCCAATGGAAAAATTATGTGGATGGCATTAGGGGAGAAACAATGGAGAGAAAGGCTGACAAGGACATGGCAGGTCAGGTGTGCTTCTGTCCAGGGCAACCAAATAGCGGGGGGCTTTGAATTGACTACCTATCCAAAGGCCTCATTTCCTGCCTCACCTGATACTGTTGGGGGTGGGGGGGGCAAAGGGGACACTTACCTGTCTGCAGAAGCCACAGTGGTGCCAACCAGTCTCTAACATGGCGCTCAGGCGAAGGTCTCTTCCCCAGGTTTCCCCAGCTTGGGCAGACTTGGCAGCTGTGATGTGTCCAGCATGTGGTCCAGTGCCCAGTCAGCCGGGGTAGTGGGTCTCACACAAGGCAGCGCTGTGGCCACTCACCCGTCCACTCAGTTCTGCTGCCACCACCTGCAAGAAAGACCATGGCTTTCAAAAGGCGTGTGGCTAGTGTTCCAGCTCTCTGCAGTGCCAACAGCTCTCCACAGCTTTGATCGCCACATCACCAACCACCAACTCCTGCTTCTTGCCATCTCGCCATCTTAACAATCATGGACTGTCACCTCGCACCATCCCACTGGTCACGTTTTGCCATCTTGCTGTCTCTTGCCATTGCTGTGTCTCACTGTCTGGCTTCTTCCCTCTGTGGTTGCCAGGATGATGCAGGCAGGTGAGCCCCCAAACTGGGGCTTAACCCAGGAGGGTTCTTGGCTTTATGCAGGAAAGAATTCAAAGGCCAGCCAGCACTATTAGATAACAAGCTTTTATTGAAGGGCACTGCTGCTTGCAGAGGAGAGCTAACTCCTAGGCAGTGCCCCCCAGAGCCACACCTGTGGGCTGCTGGCAACTGCATTTATATCCACTTATGCCCACTTTCAATTACATGCAAATTAAAGGCCAGGTTAATGCAAACTGAGGGACAGGTTATTCAGAACTTTCTAGGAAATGGGAAGTAACTTCCAGGTCCTTGCCAAGGAAAGGGGCAATCACTTTTGGATCGTTGCCATGGCATTTGTAAACTGTCATGGTGCTGTTGGGACTGCCTTATGCTAATGAGCAGTGAGGGCAGCTAGGGATCCCTTTTGTACCATCTGCCTGTTCCTGCCAGTTTTTTCACTTCATCCTTTAAGGATCAGGAAATAAGTCCTGCAGTTCTCCTTCCTCAGAGTGACAGCAACCTCAGCCTGCTCTCATGACTGTGTTTCAGTCACAGACAGTCAGACCATATGGATACAAGGGGATTCAACTGAAGTGCAGTGAAGCCCCCAAGGTCCCTCCTCACACACACACTGATGCTTGCTGAAAGAAGCAGAATGGCAAAATGCTCTGCCGTCACTCTGGTTGATGTGAACTTACTCTCAGTGTGAACTTAGATGGGTTACTTCACATCTCTACGCCTCAGGAAAGGGCTGGCATGGAAATAAACACACTATAATGTAAACTTTGGAATCAGAACAGATGACTGCACTGAAGTAGGACATGTGCCACTTTATAAGCAATTTAGATCCATTGGGAAAAAGAAATTAACTAAAGTTACTCACCCTTCTCAGAAATGTCCACCAGTGAAAGTGATTAAGATGGAACATGTCATCAGGTTACTCATAAAAACAAAACATCAGTGTTTGGGGAAGACCAAAACTTGCCTCGTGTTTGTCTTTTGCTGCCATGTCCTTAGTTCCAGAGGCACCTCTGCCCTAGGACTGTGCCTCTGCACAGAAAAGTGGGGTTCTTCACTTTGGCGGGAACCAGCAGATGGCAGGAAAGCATCCCTAGCTGCCCTCATTGCTCATTAGCATAAGACACTCCAACCAGCACCATGACAGTTTACAAATGCCATGGCAATGACCTGGAAGTTACCGCCCTTTTCTGTGCCAGTGACCAGGAAGTTACTGCCCGTTTTCTAGAAAGTTCTGAAAGGCATTTTCTAGAAAGCAAATGTGCAAAAGCAAATGTGTATGATTTGCGTTTCCCCTGATATGCTCAGAACTTTCTAGAAAATGCCTTTTAAAGCCCATCTTCCCTCACTATGAGGATATTCTCTACAGCGAGAAGTGGGAGACATGAAAGACATAATTTGCCTTTTTCCTGATATGCTCAGAGCCAACCTTGCCCAACTGTCTTATATCCTCCTGCCCCGCCCATCCTTTCCCCAGCATCCTCCTTCCAGTTTCCTGATTAATATTCCTTCCATTTCACGCTTCTCCCTGGGGATGGAAGTTATCATACTCACACGCAGCTACCCCCCTTGGTAACACTGTGACCGCTCACCCACGAACCTGGACCTCCAGACTCATTTTTGTACTCTTTATCCTTTCTTAAGAGTGTGTGTGTGTGTGTGTGTGTGTGTGTGTGTGTGTGTGTGCCTGTGTACAAGAATTTGAGAAAGTAAATTAATTTGGTGTTGAGAGAAAGGCTGAATTTTTCTCAGTCCCCATGGGCTCTTTCATCCAGTAGCACTGGAATGACCAGGGACAATCCCAGGTTTGAGTTTCTCCTGCTGACAAAGAGGCTCATATACAAAAGGGCCTTAATCTGGCTCTGGGCTTTAGACCTGGCTGCAGGTACCCTGGGCCGTAAAGGACAACAGCAAGACATTGCGGAATCTATTCTCACCTAGGGCCTCTGTGGCTCTGATCTCTTTGCTTAGAGGGTCACAGGTCCCCACACCTCCCCCTCTGCCCATGTTCTTTCCTGATGAAGAAGAAGAAAATAGAAACAAATCCCCTGAAGGCTCTTCTAAGAAGGATTCAAAATATTCCTTTTCATTCTTTTTTTTTTTCCTTTGGCAACAGAGTCTTGCTCTGTCGCCCAGGCTGGAGCGCAGTGGCATAATCTTGGCTCACTGCAACCTCTGCCTCCCAGGTTCAAGGAAGTCTCCTGCCTCAGCCTCCTGAGTAGCTGGGACTACAGGTGCATGCCACCACACCTGGCTAACTTTTTGTACTTTTAGTAGAGATGAGATTTCGCCATGTTGGCCAGGCTGGTCTCGAACTCCTGGACTCAAGTGATCTGCCCACCTTGGCCTCCCAGATTGCTGGGATAACAGGTGTGAGCCACCATGCCCAGCCTTCATTCTATTCTCTCTGGAGCCATAGACACTCAAAAATTGGCCATATTCACCCAGAGTTGTGCCTTTTTAATCCTATCTTCCCTCACTATGAGGATATTCTTTAGGTATGTCATCATAACGGCCCGAACAACCAGTGGATGAAGTACTTCTTTGGCTTCTCATATGTGCCTAGAACTGTTCTAGGAATTGCAGGCTGACAAAAGGAGCAGGAGCAACACCTGCTTTCAAAGACCTTAGAGCACTGGACAGTCCCAAGCGGACTGTCCCACCTGAGGAAATGGATCTACTTAGTCACGGGGCTCACACCACATCAGCCCCATCATTGCAGCCACCCTGTGACTCAGACTGGGATGCTTGGGGCAGAAAAGGCCTCAAAGAAGTCTCTGAGCAGTTAAGTGCTTGACATTGGCAGCGTGGTTAGGTGAGGGGGATTTTAGAGGACCGGCACCCTGTTTCTCTTTTGGCCATATGAATTTCCGCTGCACTTCTTCTGGGGCTCCAATTACCCCAGTTATCCTTTCTTTTACTCCAATTATCCTTTCTCTTATTCTAACTATCCTTTCTTTTACCCCTCAGCTTTTTTTCATCTCTCCCAAAGGATGACAGGCCTCCTAATCAGGTTTAGAGGTCAGGAAGGAGACAAAGAAAAAGGGAAAACTTACGCCAAGTCCTGTTTTGTTTCTATCCAAGACTCTTGACTTTAAAGAGCTCCAAGGACTGGGGAGAAGCGAAGGGGTATCTATTAATAGGAGTCATGAAGTCAAAAGGCATCCGACTGAACCTCCTTCTTCTGTCCTGCTCAGAACAATGAGAAAAAGCCAAGGTCAAAAGCAAGGCCAGGTTGGAAGGATTATTAGAAAAGTCATGAGGGAAAAAGCAGTTCACTCTCCTTGAGCAAATGTGAAATACACTTCTTATAGCAATAAATAATCATGCAGGATGGGGCGTACATGGTGTAAACACCTTTAATACAATTCTAATTTTCTCTTTGCTTCAAGAGCCACAGATTGTTATGGCAACAAAACAGAAAAACAGATCACAGTATTAATTTGATATCTCGGCTTCCTTTGTTCCACATTTGCAATACAGCACTTGCATAATAAACAGCCCGGGCTGAGCCAAAGCACAGAAAACACCAGCGCCACAGAAGGCCACTGTGGGGCAGCCTCTCAACCTCGAGTTCTGTTAAATAAAAAATAAATAATAATTTTCTACAAAGAGTAGCTGTTGGGCCTCCCACACAATTTGATATTTGATTGTTAACACTTGACAAGCAGATAATTCTATTCTTGTCCGCCCGATGCCAATATAATGGAAAACATCAAAAGGCGGTATCGTGCTGCAGGGACAGTTCTCCACTGCAAGTTTTCAGCAGAAGAAACTTGCCTGGCCCAGCTCTTAATTCTCCATTTGCCTGGGCCCTTCCTGCATTCCCCCTCATTCCTCCCCATGAGAACAGACGAATACAGGCTTGTATTAGCTTCCTATTGCTACTGTAACAAATTACCCTCAACTTAGCAGCTTAACAACAACACAAATTTATGATGATACAACTTTGGAGGTCAAAAGTCTACAATAGGGCTCACTGGGCTGAAATTGAGATGTAGGCATAGTTGTTTTGAAAAGATTACTTTGCAACTTGAGTAATCTTTTCAAAACAAAAATCTGACTATTTAATGTGGAGAAAAAGTCTTAAACTTCTGATGGAAGAATAAACTGGTAAGATACTCCTTGGATAGAAACTTGGCACTACTTAGTAAAGTTGAATATTCTCTTACTTATATTTTTTATATAATTTCCATAATTTAAAGATACCTTTTAGGCCAGGTGCGGTGGCTCATGCCTGTAATCCCAGCATGTTGGGAGGCCAAAGCAGGCGGATCACTTGAGGCCAGGAGTTTGAGACCAGCCTGGCCAACACGGTGAAACCCTGTCTCTACTAAAAATACCAAAATTAGCCAGGTGTGGTGGCAGGCGCCTGTAGTCCCAGCTACTCAGGAGTCTGAGGCACAAGAATCGCTCGAACCCAGGAGGCAGAGGTTGCAGTGAGCAGAGATCATGCCACTGCACTCCAGCCTGGGTGACAGAGAGAGACTCTGTCTCAAAAAAAGAAAGAAAGAAAGATACTTTTTAATGCCAATTTCTTCAAAAAAAAAAAAAGTCTAAGATTGTTCACTGCACTGCTGTTTATAATAGTAAAAACCTGGAAACAAGATTGTTCACTGTAGGCCAGGTGTGGTGGCTAATGCCTGTAATCCCAGTGCTTTGGAAGGCTGAGGTGGGAGGATCGCTTGAGGCTGGGAGTTCAAGTTCAACCTGGGCAACATAGCGAGACCCTGTCCCTACAAAAGAAAATAAAAATAAAAATTAGCCAAGAATGATGGCGCATGCCTGTAGCTAAGACAAGAGGATCACTTGAGCCCAAGAAATCAAAGCTGCAGTGAGCTATGATAGCACTACTGCACTCTAGCCTGGGGGACAGAGCAAGACCCTGTCTCTAAATAAAACAAACAAATAAGAGCCACCTCTTCAACATACACAAATTTCAAGAACAATGTTGAGCCAAGAACCAAGTGGCATAGTGATACATACAGTATGTGGTCCTTTGCTTAAAGTTTAAAAACCTGTTTAAACAAAAAACCAATACCACATAATATACATATGGACCCACAAATAAGTAGTAAATGTATAAAAACAGAGGAAAGAAAATAAAATATGACAGCAAGAGAGATCGTACTTGCTTAGGGCTGATGGTTAGAGAAAGCTTTCTGTGGAGATGCTTGAATGACAGGAAAGGGCTGGGGCTGCAGGCATGGGGACAGGAGCTGAGGCCCCTGTACACCCTGGGGCTACAGAGCACAGCTGCAGGGCTTGACTACTTGGAACCAAATCCTGCTCTGCTGTGTAACCTATGTGTGACCCTGGGCAAATGACAGAACGTCTCTGCCGTGTCTATAGCAGCATAATAATGGCATCTGCCTCATAGGGGCGCTAGATGAAATAGTTGGCCTGAATAAGTGACAGCAATGCCTGGCATGCAAGGAGGACCCTGTCAATGTTTGCTCTTATTTCTATTCCAGGCAGAGGAAACTGTAAAGTCAAAGACTAGGGTAGGGGAGGAAGGATAAGCAGAAAAACACTGAGAATTTATATACTGGCAAGAAACCCAGGTGACTGGAGCAAAGCAAACCAGCAGCGAGCGGATGTCATGGAGGCTGGAGAGCCAGGCAGGGGTCAAAGTCCCCGTGCAAGGAGCTTGGCTGTCATTCCATGGGCTACTGGAGAGAGAAGCCGTGGAGCAATGGGATCCGATGTTAACTTGAAAGAGATCACTCTTACTCACCAGTGAAACTGAGTGAACTACTCACATGCTCAGCCATTTAATGGATCTAGAGGGAATTATGCAGAGTGAGAAAAGCCAATCCCAAAAGGTTATATACAGCATTGATTCCATTTACAGGACACTGTTGAAATGACATTGCAGAAATGAAGAACAGATTAGTGGTTGCTGGTAGTTAAGGAGGGGTAGAAGCATCCGGACGGTGGTTATGAAAAGCCAACACAGGGATCCCTGTGGTAATAAAGCCGTTCTGTAACTTCCTTGACTTTGTCAATGTCAGTATCCTGGCTATGATCCTGTACCATTGTTTTGCAAGATGTTACCACTGGGGGAACTGGTTAAAGGGTATACTCTTCATATTATTTCTTGAAACTGCATGTAAACCCATCGTTATCTCAAGAAAATTTAACAGGAATTAAAAAAAGAAAAAAAAGCCAACTCTCCATAGAAAATAATTTGGAAATTCATATCAGACAGAAGCTCCAAAATTCCACTCCAGAGAGCAGGGATATGGTCATTTTAGCCTGGAAAAAGTTGAAGGCATATCTAATCAAAAGATACTCTCAGACTGTTGAAACAAAGCACCCAGAGAATATCCAGCTTTGAGAACTGCTGCTTCCTGGTATACTCTCCAAAATTATCTTGCTGCAAAATGTAGCTGAAGTCACGAAGAAAGCAACTTCCACAGCAAGGAAGCAGCTACAACAGTGAAAGCTGGACCTCCAGGGACCTACCATCTATACCTGCAGACAACATCTGCATACGTGATCCAAGTTGTCCCATAAAAAAAAAAAAAAAGACAGAATCAACATCTCTATAGTCTCAATATCTTTGTCCTCCAAAACTCATATGTTGAAATTCTAACTCCCAAGATGATAGCATTAGGAGGTGGGCCTTTTGGAGGAGATTAGGTCACAAAAGTAGAGCCCTCAAGAATAAGATTAGTGTCCTTAGAAAAGGGGCCCCAGAGAGCTGGCTTACCCCTTCTGCCATGTGAGGATACAGTGAGAAGATGACCATGTACACACCAGGAAATGGGCCCTCACCAGACATCCAGTCTGCCAGTGCCTTGATCTTGGACTTCCCAGCCCCCAGAACTGTGAGCAATAAACGTCTGTAGCTGATAAGCTACCCAGTTGGTGGCATTTTGTTATAGCAGCTCAAATAGCTGAAGACAAACATAGCAGCCATAAAACAGGATTTGTCTTGCTCCCTCTCATCTGCTATTCCAGGGCCTCAACACCAACCAGCAGCTCACCCTGCCCCTGAGGATAGCTCACGTGGGTGTGTGGGCACATCTTCCCAGACACTGTGACAGGCCATCCTCCACCTCCCCTCCTCTGGCTCCCTGCCCACTGCCACCAAGGGTCTGATGTTTGTGCCAAGGCCTCTGCTGCCCACAAACCCCATGTGTCACCCCATGGTGCTGGGAACCACGGGGCTCTGTGGTGGCTTCCTCTCCCGCTTCCCACTCTGCCTGCTGCTCCCAGGAGCTCCAACAGTAACTGTTGTTGGAACAGTGATTGCTGAGGGACCAGAGGGTCTCCCAGTGAAATTGCCTTTTCACTTTCTATTTGAAGCCCCTCTTCTCCAGAACGTTGGCACAAATCCATGAGGACTTGATTGAGAACAGATCCCTGCATCTCCAAGTGGGAGGCATTGGCTCTGAATCTAGCCTGTGGCCTTGGTTCTTTCTTCTTCGTTGATGTTTTTTTCCTCCTTAGTTCCTCAGCCAAACAGACCCTTGGTAATAATTCTATGAAAGATGTAAGGGGAGAGGAGGGAGAAGAAGGGTGAAAGCATGCAGCCTCTAAGTTTCGAGAAAGAAACATTTTGCCCAGCCACGTTGGCCAGCACATGCTCCAGGGAAAATGGAAGACAGAATGAACCTCAGAGGGTATTGGTGCACAGAAGCCGCACGGACCTTCTAGGAGAGTGTGGTTCAGGCATGGGTGCAACTGAGAGGTCAGAAATGAAGACACTGGGCTGAGTCAGAGGGACTTGTAGGAAAGAGAAGAAGGTAACACTCCAGGTCTCAGGCCTTGAGTACCATGCCAAGCAGCTGTTGACAACAAATCCAGTTCTAGGAATCTCTCCAACACCCCTATTCACACATGTCCTGTGGCAGTTGTACTCCAAGCCTGGTTCATCTACCATTCCAGCCATGATCTTCCTTGTCTTCCTCTACAGCTGAGCCTATAAAATGAAACCTATCTATCCCCAGCCTCCTTTAAGCCTCAGATCGCCATGTGCACAGTCTGGCCATTTGAATAGAAACAGTTCCTGTGAAGGGGGCTTTTCCTCCATCCTCCCCACCCAGCCCCCAAATGCAGTGTCTCAAAAGAAGAAAGTGTTTGGCTTGACTCTTTTACCTTTGGGCATCTTCCTTCCTGGCTGAAATACAGGTGCAGCCAAGATATGTCAACTGACTTGTGACCAGGAGGACCAAGCCACACCCTAGGAGGGCAAAACAGAAAAAGGCTGCTTCCTTCCTAACATCTGTTGGCGGCAGCCCCAGCCCTGGACTGTCTACCGGCAGATGTCCTGTTACCCTGACAAGAAGGAAGGATGGAAGGGAGGCGGGAAGGAAGGAAGATCCAAGGACAGAGGGAAGAATTATGTTGAAAGATTATAATTGGATTGTTTATTACTTGCAGGAAAATGCATTGCCAGACACCATAGGATCATTTGTAATATCAAAAAAACTGGAGGCCTGGCACGATGGCTCATGCCTGTAATCCCAACACTTTGGGAGGCCAAGGTAGGCAGATCACTTGAGGTCAGGAGTTCGAGGACAACCTGGCCAACATGGCGAAACTCCCATCTCTACTAAAAATACAAAAAAATGTTAGCCAGGCATGGTGGCAGGTGCCTGTAATCCAAGCTACTTGGGAGGCTGATGAAGGAGAATCGCTTGAACCTGGGAGGCAGAGGTTGCAGTGAGCTGAGATCACACCACTGCACTCCAGCCTCGGCAACACAGTGGGACTCCATCTCAAAAAAAATTAGAAATAATTGATATGGAAGTGGTAACATAAATTATGAGCCATCCACGATATAAAATACTATGTAGTGATGAAGTACACACATATATAGAGTGACATGGAAAGATCCCTGGGCCACACTGTCAAGTGAAACAAACCAGTCTACAGAACAATCCAGGTGCTCCTTGACTAACAGGGGGTTGCGTCCCAATAAACACATCGAAAGTTGAAAATATTGTAAGTTGAAAATACATTTAGTCCACCTAACCTACTGAACATCTCAGCCTGGCCTACCTTAAACGTGCTCAGAACACTCACATTAGCCTATGGTGGGGCAAAATCATCTCGTACAAAGCCTATTTTACACTAAAATGTTGAATATCTCATGGAATTTGTTGACTAGCGTACTGAAAGTGAAAAGCAGAATGGGTGTTCAAAGTATGGTTTCTGTGAAATGGGTATCACTTTTATACCATCATAAAATAAAAACACTGTAAGTTGGGGAACGTCTGTATATAGTATTGACCTGCTTATGTGATTTTTTAAATTATGCGTGTACATATATATCCCTATGCATCTAACTATGCATCTAGATAGAAGGAGAAGTATATATACCAACTGTTAACAATGGTTATTTCTGGGATTGTGGGAGAGTAGGGATGGGCTGGGGTGAAGAGGGCTTTCATGAAAACTATAGAGTGAAAAACCCTATTGTTCTGAGGGAAAAGCAATTAAAAAGCATAGTGTTGGTTTCCTCCCTTCCCCTTTGGTAATTAATTTCTTCTGACCCTGAAGAGAAGACAATGTCTTGGGAGATCATCCTCTAGATGGCTTTGACTCTAGACTTCCAAACACCCACCTTCCACCATAGAAAGAAAGACCCATGGCTGTGTGGACAGGGAACCCATCTGAACTGCCACATTGATGCCATTAATGCTGGGCTTCTGCCCTTCCTTCTGGAAACCTAGAAATGGAGATCTTATACTTCAATCAAACCAGCAATTGGGCCATTCAAATAACTGCTTTTATGATACCCCAAATCCAGCCAAAACACTCCCACCCCATTCTGGTGGATGGCTCTCCACCATCCTGGCAAACCTGGCCCACACAACCTGCTACCAGTAACGCTGGGGGAAATTTTCTTGGACCCCAGCTCTCTCTTCCTCTCCTGAACTGGCAGTCTAAGTCAAGAATATTCCCTGTCACTTCTCCACAGCACCAGGAAGGGGCCTGGGGGGAGGAATGTGCCTGACTTTTTGGGCTCTGCTAAGTGTGGGTCTGTCTGATGCCATGAATGGGCCGAATGGACGTGGCCTAAGCATTACACAGCTCCTCGAAGGGATCACTGCTGTGTAATTCACACCACAATGGGCATGAGGGAGAGCATTTTCAAAAGTGGTTCCAATTAATGACTGTCCAGGGACATTCACAAGGCACAGGTCCCTGAGCACAGAGCCCTGGCTGGCATGGTGAGGTCCCACGGTGGTGAGACCATTGCAGAGGCCCATTGAGGGGAAAGAATCCACACGGACACTCATGGCTAGAGCTAACTGAAACCCTTCAGAAGCATTATGTTAAGGAAGTGCAAATTATTATTATTATTATTTTTGAGACAGAGTTTCCCTCTTGTTGCCCAGGCTAGAATGCAGTGGTGCGATCTCAGCTCATGGCAACCTCCATCTCCCAGGTTCAAGCGATTCTCCTGCCTCAACCTCCCGAGTAGCTGGGATTACAGGCACCCGCCATGATGCCTGGCTAATTTTTTGTATTTTTAGTAGAGATGGGGTTTCGTCTTGTTGGCCAGGCTGGTCTCGAACTCCTGACTGCAGGTGATCCACCCACCTCAGCCTCCCAAAGTGCTGGGATTACAGGTGTGAGCCACCATGCCCAGCCATAGGAAGTGCAAATTAATAATGGTGCACAGAAGTTGAAGAGAGGGGTGGGAGCAGACAATTTCATTTCAAAGTCGGCACAAGGTCCTGTGAGAGAAGGACAGAACTGAGGTGGCCCCTGCACAGCAATCTTAGAGGCACGGGGACGGCCTCTGGGTAACCACTCTCAGCCTGGAACTCACCGGAGAATGAGGGGACACCACAGAGTCCCCTCTCAGTGGATTTCCTGCATCTTACAGCCAAGTCCCACTTCAGCCCAGTACTCCATCCAGGAAGCCTTTCCTGGCTACCTACTGTGCAAAACCTTGAGGTGGGAGATGCAGAGGGCCCCTTGGTGCCTGTGCACCCAGGCAAGGGGCACTGCTCAGCCCCGCAGCAGCCCTGGGGAAGCTGTCACCGGCAGAGCAACTGCAAGGACCAGGGAGCTCTGCATAGAGGAAGAACGACAATGCCACAAACAATAGCTGAGCACAGGTAGAGCGTGACCAGGGAGAGCGCGGATGCTGGCGCAGGAAGGCTCTGAGGAAGGCTGCACACACAGGATGGCCCTCTCCAGCTTCACGTCCTCAGGGTTACAGATACAGCCGGGGCTGGTGGTCACAGCAAGCACCCTCCATCCTCTGCTCTGCTCCTAAGGGCCCCTTCTGATGTCCAGCCTGGGGCCTTTGCTAGGTCAGAGCCAAGGGGATCCGTGGGAAGCATGTGATGGGGCAGGGCAGAGGGCTGGGGCGAGGGTGGAGTTCAGCACAGGAGGTGTGTCACAGTTGGGGCGTAGTTGTTAAGTGTGGCCTCATGTGTGTTAAGTGTCACGCATGGGGTTGTGCATGGTGTAGGAGCTGAGTTGTGGTGGACTGTGGAGTGTGGTGTAGGAGCTGTGTTGCAGTGAGACGGAGCAGGAACCCCCTGTTAAGGGCCTGCTGGGCACACCCTCCCCACACCCAAACGTGGACATTTTTTAAAATCTTAGGCCTGGCGTGGTGGCTCACACCTGTAATCCCAGCACTTTGGGAGGCCAAGGCAAGTGGATTACCTGAGGTCAGGAGTTCAAGACCAGCCTGACCAACATGGTGAAACCTCATCTCCACTAAATACAAAAAATTAGCCAGGTGTGGTGGTGGGCGCCTGTAATCCCAGCTACTCAGGAGGCCGAAGCAGGAGAAGTGCTTGAACCCAGGAGGCTGAGGTTGCATTGAGCGGAGATTGCACCATTGCACTCCAGCCTAGGAGAAAGAGCAAGACTCCATCTCAAAAAAAAAAAAATCTTAAATTCCTTCAAGAACAATTTCAGGTATCTAGCTGGCCCTAAAAAATAAACAAACAACTTAAAATTCCAGGTACCCAGCTAGCCTTAAAAAATAAACAATTCAGGAAACAAGAAGGTAATAGTGGCTTAAAACAATGGCCAAAAAAGTTAGAGTCAAAAATGTTTGGTTCCCTTTAGAGACTAAAGATAACATCTTAACATATGTCCCTGAGTTGTTTTACAGAAACCCAGACCCCCACCAGGCAGACTCACTGGCAAACAGACCTCAGATAAGGGGAGCAGAGGATTCAGCTCTGATCCCTGTTCTTTGTTCTAAATTCCTTCCTGAGGGGCCTGGAGGAAGTCACACCCATGAGCTGGAGCTAACATTCTTTTCTGTTGATCTGAAATTTTTATTGTATTTTATGTTTATTTTTGAGAGGGAGTCTCACTCTGTCTCCCAGGCTGGAGAGCAATGGCACAATCTTGGCTCGCTGCAACCTCTGCCTCTCAGGTTCCAGCAATTCTCCTTCCTCAGCCTCCCAAGTAGCTGGGATTACAGGCGTGCCCCACCACACCCAGCTAATTTTTTGTATTTTTAGTAGAGAGGTGGGTTTCACCATGTTGGCCAGGCTGGTCTCAAACTCCTGACCTCAGGTGATCCTCCCACCTCGGCCTCCCAGAGTACTGGGATTACAGGCGTGAGCCATCGCGCCCAGCTGATCTGAAATTTTTAGACAAAACTTTGTCTCCCTAACCAATTGCAAATCAGAAAATCCTTAAATCCACCTATGGCCTGTAGGCCCCCCTGCCTGGAGATGTCCCCACTTTTTAGTTCAATGCAATGGATAGCTGCCTTGTATTGATTTATGACTTTGCCCATAACCTCTGCCTCCCTGCCTTTAAAAAGCCTAACCTGTAAGCCCTCTGGGAGGTTGGGACTTAAGTGTGAGCTGCCTGGTCCTCCTTGCTTGGCACCCTGCAAATAAAAGCCTTCCTTTCTCCTGCTGCAAACCTCGGTGTAGATATCTGGTCTTACTGCACTGGGGCAAGGTATAACAGGAGTGCAGTGTTGTGTATGGGGTAGGAGCTGTATTGTGGTGTAGTGTCCTGTGTCATGTAGGAGCTGAGTCCTGGTGTAGGGTCATGCATAGACTAGGAGCTGATTCATGGTGTAGGGTCATGCACGGATTAGGAGCTGAGTTGTGGTATAAAGTCATGCATGGATTAGGAGCTGAGTTGTGGTGGAGGGTCATGCATGGATTAAGAGCTGAGTTGTGGTAGAGGGTCATGCATGGATTAAGAGCTGAGTTGTGGTATAAGGTCGCACATGGATTAGGAGCTGAGTTGTGGTATAGGGTCATGCATGGATTAGGAGCTGAGTTGTGGTGTAGGGTCATGCACGGATTAAGAGCTGAGTTGTGGTGGAGGGTCATGCATGGATTAGGAGCTGAGTTGTGGTGGAGGGTCATGCACGGATTAAGAGCTGAGTTGTGGTGGAGGGTCATGCACGGATTAAGAGCTGAGTTGTGGTGTAGGGTCATGCATGGATTAAGAGCTGAGTTGTGGTATAGGGTCAAGCATGGATTAAGAGCTGAGTTGTGGTGGAGGGTCATGCATGGATTAAGAGCTGAGTTGTGGTGTAGGGTCATGCATGGATTAAGAGCTGAGTTGTGGTGTAAGGTCATGCATGGATTAAGAGCTGAGTTGTGGTGTAGGGTCATGCATGGATTAGGAGCTGAGTTGTGGTGTAGGGTCATGCATGGATTAAGAGCTGAGTTGTGGTGTAGGGTCATGCATGGATTAAGAGCTGAGTTGTGGTATAGGGTCATGCATGGATTAAGAGCTGAGTTGTGGTGTAGGGTCACGCATGGATTAGGAGCTGAGTTGTGGTATAGGGTCATGCATGGATTAGGAGCTGAGTTGTGGTGTAGGGTCATGCATGGATTAAGAGCTGAGTTGTGGTGTAGGGTCATGCATGGATTAGGAGCTGAGTTGTGGTGTAGGGTCATGCATGGATTAAGAGCTGAGTTGTGGTGTAGGGTCATGCATGGATTAAGAGCTGAGTTGTGGTGTAGGGTCATGCATGGATTAGGAGCTGAGTTGTGGTGTAGGGTCATGCATGGATTAGGAGCTGAGTTGTGGTGTAGGGTCATGCATGGATTAAGAGCTGAGTTGTGGTGTAGGGTCACGCATGGATTAGGAGCTGAGTTGTGGTGTAGGGTCACGCATGGATTAGGAGCTGAGTTGTGGTGTAGGGTCATGCATGGATTAGGAGCTGAGTTGTGGTGTAGGGTCATGCATGGATTAGGAGCTGAGTTGTGGTGTAGGGTCATGCATGGATTAAGAGCTGAGTTGTGGTGTAGGGTCATGCATGGATTAAGAGCTGAGTTGTGGTGTAAGGTCATGCATGGATTAAGAGCTGAGTTGTGGTGTAGGGTCATGCATGGATTAAGAGCTGAGTTGTGGTGTAAGGTCATGCATGGATTAAGAGCTGAGTTGTGGTGTAAGGTCATGCATGGATTAAGAGCTGAGTTGTGGTGTAGGGTCATACATGGATTAAGAGCTGAGTTGTGGTGTAAGATCATGCGCGGATTAAGAGCTGAGTTGTGGTGTAGGGTCATACATGGATTAGGAGCTGAGTTGTGGTGTAAGGTCGCACATGGATTAAGCGCTGAGTTGTGGTGTAGGGTCACGCATGGATTAGGAGCTGAGTTGTGGTGTAGGGTCATGCATGGATTAGGAGCTGAGTTGTGGTGTAAGGTCGCACATGGATTAAGAGCTGAGTTGTGGTGTAGGGTCACGCATGGATTAGGAGCTGAGTTGTGGTGTAGGGTCATGCATGGATTAGGAGCTGAGTTGTGGTGTAGGGTCATGCATGGATTAGGAGCTGAGTCATTGTATAAGGTCATGCATGGATTGCTGAGTCGTGGTGTGGTGTTGGGTGGAGTCTGGTTGCCATTGCATTGCACTATATCATGGTGATCCCAGAGCTGCCCAGGAATGCCATTCCCCTCCCCCTTCTCCTCCCAACTCCTTCCCACCTCCAACCCCCTCGCCAACCTGGGAGGCTGCAATGATGCTATTTGCTAAGGAGGGTTGGAGGGCCATTCAAACATGGGACTGAGGGGGCCACACAGATCTCCCTCCCTCATCCTGGGCCACTTCTCCTGTCTTGAAGCCCCGAGGAAGCTGAACTCACCCATCAGTCTCTCTCATCCGTTGGCCACCTGCTGTCCCCACCCACCCACCAAACTGGTGCTTTTAATGGAATCAGCTTTAAAAAGAAAAAAATCCTCCAAGTAACAAAGCACCCTATAATTATTCCGCAGCTCCTTGTCCTCGGTAATTTTAGGCTTGTGCTGCTATCATTACACATTACATGGAGTTAGGGAGTCATAGCTCTTGTGTGGCCAATCAGTGATACATCTGCAGGATTTCCAAATGGAAGGGAAAGTCCAGGCGCATCCTGGTGGATGGGCTGATGGGGCCTTGATGACTGCGGCTCCTCCAGACCCCAAGCACACACGGGAGTGCCGGTGCCTCCAGGGAGGGCCAGCAGGAGGCGCTGGGGACAAGTGTGCACTCGGTGCCCACAGGGCACCAGGCCCTGGTTTATTCAAGAGCACAGTGTGTAGAACCCCACTCCCCTCCCCACACCTCCAATCTCAGCCTCCCGTCCATGCTCGCCTCTGCAAATGGCTCAAATCCCTCCAGCTTCTCCTCCTCTCCATTGAGCTCGCTCTGTCCCCAGGCCTCCCCTGGAACCCTGATCCAGCCCTCCCCTGGCCTGCCATGGTCATATGTCCTTCTCACAAGCCTCTGGTGATTTTTTTTAGAGGCGAATCTGCTAATACCACTTCCTGCTTAGTGTTCTTCACCGGCTTATCACTGCCTTCAGGAGAAAATTCAGAATCCCTGCAGAGGGGATTCGCCGCCAACCGTGCTCCTCCTGACTTCATCAGGAGGGCAGGAGGGATAGATGGGTGCAGTGAAGGTGGGACTCCCCAGGGAGGAAGGCTGGGGAGGGGAGGCGGATGCTGGAGCCGGCCCAAGCCCAGGCTGCCATCACCACACCGTGTACTCAGGGCCCTGGCCTCTTTCCCTGGCAGGAGGTGTGGGAGCTGCCTCAGGTATCTTAGGTGGGGCTCGAGACTTCTCAGCCCTGCCTACTTCCTCACTTCCTCACTTCTTTGCTCCCTTTTTAGCAAACGATCAGGAAACAACCATAAGCATTCTCCGTTGAGCAGCCCATGACACTGCTCTGCCTACGGAGTAGCTGTTCCTTTTGCTTCTTGACTTCCTTTACAAACTTGCTTTCACTTTACGGCCTTGCCCCAAAGTCTTTCTTGCATGAAATCCAAGAATCCACTCTTGGGGTCTGGATCAGGGCCCCTTTCCAGTAACAAACCCATTACACCTACTATGGCAAAATCATGCCGGATATTTACCTATGTCACGCAATCAACTTTGAGTCATGGTTCTTATCTTCAATATTCAACAGGGAAACTGAGGCTTGAAGAGACTGAGTAATCCCCAAGACCACACAAGTGCTGGGTCTGTCACCAGCATCTTGCTCATCTTACTCCACTGTGCTGTCACTAAAATGTAGTCCTTCCCAGGATGGTGTCCACAGCAGGGGAAGTGGCCCAAGCTCTGCCCAGCTCTCTCACCATGGGCCTTGTCCAGGATCTGTGTCTGAATTGGGGGAAGAGGAGGGAACAGCCTAAATGACTGAATATTATATAAACCTGGATGACAGTGAAGGAAATCAAAACATTTTCTACTCCAAAATATATTTCTTTGACATATTTTGAGATAGCTGTCAGAGGGCCAGCTCAATGAAGCAGCCCTGCAAAGCTGTCTTTTTTGGGGAAAATGTGCATCTGTAGAAAAGTCTGCAATGATGCAGCCAGACCTTCCCTTGTCTAGAACTACAAAAGATGAACTGAGAGACTGAGACCTTTAAACGTCAGAAAGAAACATTTCCCATCTATTCTCTCTGGGGGCTGCTACCTGTGAGCTTTCATCTACATAATAAGACCGGCTTTGCTAGCCAGGCCTTTTCTTCTCCCCCTTCCATAACCATCTGGCCACTATAACCTGATTTACCACTATTTTTGACCATGCTCTGAGCCCACATTCCTTCTGTAACTTCAAGATGGTATACAAGCTTCACAATGGAGGTGGTCTTCCAGATGTTATATGAGCTTCTGCATGGGGGTGGTCTTCAAGATGGTATACAAGCTTCTGCATTGGGGGTGGTCTCCAAGATGGTATACAAGCTTCTGCATGGGGGTTGGTCTTTAAAATGGTATACAAGCTTCTGCACCGAGGTGGTCTTCCAGATGGTATATGAGCTTCTGCCTTGGGAGTAGTCTTTAAGATGGTATACAAGCTTCTGCATTGGGGGTGGTCTCTAAGATGGTATATGAGCTTCTGCCTTGGGGGTGGTCTCCAAGATGGTACACAAGCTTCTGCATTGGGGGTGGTCTCCAAGATGGTACACAAGCTTCTGCATTGGGGGTGGTCTTCCAGATGGTATATGAGCCTCTGCATGGGGATGGTCTTCCAGATGGTATACAAGCTTCTGCATTGGGGGTGGTCTTCATTCTGAAGGCTCCCGTGCACATGTTAACCATAAATGTATATGCCTTTTCTCCCATTAACTTGCTTTTTGTGAGTTGATTTTTCAGCAAACCTTCTGAGAGTGAAGGAGAGGCCTTCTTTTTGCCCCTACAACAGAAAGCAGAAACCACAGGGAAGCTGGCTGCAAGAGTCAGACCTCCTCTGCTAGCTAGGTAGGAGAAAGTCCATGACAAAGTCATGGCCACAAAGGTCTTATCTTTGTAGAGGCTGAAGGCAAAGAGAGAGCATTTTCAAAGGGTTCCCTTCATTCAAACCACCATTGAGCTCAACTGTGTGCAGGGCACTGTTTTGAGTCCTGGTTTTAAGAAAAAGCACATGGCCTTGGAGCTTTAAAGAGGGGTCAGTCCTCTGGCTGCAATATGAAGAGCAGATTTACAGAACAACAGAGGACATCGATCCTGCCTCAAAGACTTGGTGCAGAAATACAGGCCTGATGCAGTGGCTCATGCCTGTAATTCCAACACTTTGGGAGGCCGAGGTGGGTGGATCACCTGAGGTCAGGAGTTCAAGACCACCCTGGCCAACATGGTGAAACCCCATCTCTTCTAAAAATACAAAAAATTGGCCAGGCATGGTGGTGGGTGCCTGTAATCTCAGCTACTCGGGAGACTGAGGCAGGAGAATCGCTTGAACCTGTGAGGCAGAGCTTGTGGTGAGCCGAGGTGGGGCCACTGCACTCCAGCCTGGGTGACAAGGCGAGACTCCATCTCAAAAAAAAGAAAAAAAAATACAGGGGGAGAGGTAGAGAAAGTGACAACAAATGCATCACGAACAGCACAAAAAGAGGACTGCCCAGTACAGTGGCTCACGCCTGTAATCCCAGCACTTTGGGAGAAGGAGGCAGGCAGATCACTTGAGCTCAGGAGTTTGAGACCAACCTGGGCAACATGATGAAACCCCTGTCTCTACAAAAAAAAAGTACAAAAAATTAGCCAGGCATGGTGGTATACCTGTAGCGCCAGCTACTTGGGAGGCTGAGGTCGGGGGATCACCTGAACCCAGCCTGAGCCACAGAATGAGACCCTGTCTCAAAAAAAAAAAAAAAAAATTATGGTGATGTCCTCACAGAAAGAGAAACAACGGTGGTTCTCGGGGAACATCCTGGCCATAGGGACCACACAGAAGGAAAATGTGCCTGGACTAGAGCTTTCTCGACATGTGAATGAACCTCAAGGACAAAAGCTAACAGCATAGTTGGCCCAGAGAAAATCCGGTGACAGAGGCGTCAGGTAACTTGTTAAGCATCCCCACTCCTCATCCGCCATCTTGGGCTTCACTTCGAGGGCGAATGCCATGGTCTTTGACGGGAGAATTGACAGTGGTTCTCCGTGACTGCAGCCTGGAGAATGCCGCTGTGCATGGCTGATCTCGGGAGTGCACGATGAGGTCAGAGGCTCTGGATCTATCTGCAAATGTGTGAGGGTGACCTGGGCTGCTGGAGGGTCCCCAGGGAACACAGCCTCATTCCTTGGGTTCAGCTCTAGAGTCCCTACGTGTTCTCTGGAAGAAGCCACACACCACCTCCTACGTTTCCCAAGGAACAAAGGGAGGGAAAGGTTTTGCCCAACCAGTGAGCCATAGTCAGGAGCCCATGGGTGCTGTCCGTACGGTGACTCAGGTATTGGGTGGGATGAAGGTTGGGGAACCTATGGGTCTTCCCTGAGGCTTTCCTTCAGAAAGCCAAAGACATTCTTCTTTCTCTATTTTTTATCTTATTATTATTTTTTAGACAGGATTTCACTCTTGTTGCCTGGACTGGAGTGCAATGGTGTGATCTCGGCTCACTGCAACCTCCGCCTCGCAGGTTCAAGCAATTCTTCTGCCTCAGCCTCCTGAGTAGCTGGGATTACAGGTACCCGGCACCACGCCCAACTAATTTTTGTATTTTTAGTAGAGACGGAGTTTCACCATGTTGGCCAGGCTGGTCTCGAACTCCTGACCTCAGGTGATCTGCCTGCCTCAGCCTCCCAAAGTACTGGAATTACAGGTGTGAGCCACCGCACCTGGCCCCTTTTTGTTTTTTTTATGTTTAGAGACAGGGTCTCTGTCTGTCGCCCAGGCTGGAATGCAGTGGTGCAAACATAGCTCACTGCAGCCTCGGCCTCCCAACCTCAAGCGATCCTCCCATCTCAGCCTCTTGAGTAGCTGAGACTACAGACACTCACCACCATGCTCTGTTAATTCTTAATTTTGTTTTTAGAGACAGGGTCTCTAACAGGGCAAGTATGTTGCCCAGGTTAGCCTTCAACTCCTGGCCTCAACTGATCCCCCTGCCTGGGTCTCCCAAAGAGCTGGAATTACAGGTGTGAACTACCACACCACTGAGCCGGCCTCCTCTTGGGACCACTGGTTGACCCAAGACAGTATGTGAGACACACCCAAGGAGCGGTTGTATAGAAGCTACAGGAGAGGCTCACAGGAGGGGAAGAGCAGTGGAGGTAAAGTGGTTATGGAGGACACCCAGAAGAGGAGACTGAGCTAGACTTTATTTTTTATTTTTTATTATTTTTTTGTTTTATTGAGATAGAGTCTCACTCTGTTGCCCAGGCAGGAGTACAGTTGTGTGATCTCAGCTCACTACAACCTCCGCCTCCCGGGTTCAAGCAATTCTCGTGTCTCAGCCTCCCATGTAGCTGGGACTATAAGTACATGCCACCATGACCGGCTAATTTTTGTATTTTTAGGAGAGATGGGGTTTCACCATGTTGGCCAGGCTGGTCTCAAACTCCTGACCTCAGGTGATCCTCTGGCCTCAGCCTCCCAAAGTGCTGGGATTACAGGTGTGAGCCACCACACCTGGCCTGAGCTAGATTTTGAATTATGATTCCCAGTGGTTTCTACTTAGACATTAGAATCATTTCTTCCTTCCTTACCTGGTCGTTCATATTCTGTCCTCTTTGTGGGCACCTTTGATCTTCTTAATTTCCAAACATTGGCAGCCCCGGGGCTCAGTCCTCAATGTTCCTCCACACTCCATTGGTGCCCATTCCTCTGATGAGTGAAAAATCACCCACAAATAGACAACTCCTGACTGATATCTCTTTTTTTTGCTTTTTAGAGACAGAGTATTGCTCTGTTGCCCAGGCTGGAGTGTGGTGGCGCCATCAGAGCTCGTTGCAGCCTTCAACTCAAGCGATCAAGCGATCCTCCCACCCCAGCCTCCCAAGTAGCTGGGACTACAGACATGTGCCACTATGCTGTTAATTTTTAATTTTTTTGTAGAGACAAGGTCTTGTTAAGTTGGCCAGGGTGGTTTTGAACTCTGGACCTCAAGCAATCCTCCCACCTTGGCCCCCCAAAGTGCTGGCATTATAGGCGTGAGCCCCCACGCCCAGCCAGATCTCTCTTCCCAAGTCCAGACTTGAATATCTGACTCCTCATCAACAACTTCACTAGGATTTTGGGCACCTTTCAAACTTCTGTCAAAACTTGATATCTGATCCTTCCTTTTAGTTAATAACAACAGGCTGGGCATGGTGGTTCACACCTGTAATCCCAGCACTTTGGGAGGCCGAGGTGGGCAGATCACTTGAAGCCAGGAGTCCGAGACAACCTGGCCAACATTGCAAAACCCCCTATCTACTAAAAATACAAAAATTAGCCAGGTGCGGTGGTGCACACCTATAACCCCAGCTACTGAGGAGGCTGAGGCACAAGAATTGCTTGAACCTGGGAGGCGGAGGTTGCAGTGAGCCAAGTTCGCGCCACTGCACTCCAGCCTGGGTGATACAGCAAGACTGTGACTTAAAATAAAAAAGACAACCTCCTCCCTCTAGTTACTAAGCCCAAACACCTAAGCACGGGACTCCTTTTCTCCCAGCTGCCATCACATGTGTCACCA